>NT_187687.1:0-170537 GCF_000001405.40 Homo sapiens
TCTACTCTCCCATGCTTGCCTCGGCAGCACATATACTAAAATTGGAACGATACAGAGAAAACTAGCATGGCCCCTGCGCAAGAATGACACGCAAATTCGTGAAGTGTTCCATATTTAAAAAAAAAAATCTACTTTCCTGGTAAATTTCAAGTATAGAGTACAGTATTGTCAACCATAGTGGCAAAGCTGTACAAGAGATCTTCAGACCCATTCCTCCTGAATACCTGATAGTTTGTATCCTTTGATCAACATCTCCCAATTCCCTCCCCCACACTGTCCCTGTAGTTCTAGTGAGTTCCCCAGACTCTGATGTCTCAATTTCATTCAGTCACTTTCCTCCAGATACATCTACCCATTCCTACTGCATCTTAGTATCCTGAGCCTTGGGGGCAGTTTCTGTGCCAAGTGGAAATGTGGAAATGAGATATTACGAAGAAAAATCTTTGCCCACCTAGACAGGGATCTGATGTTTTCCAAGATGACACATGATTACATGTTGAAATGATAATATTTTGAGTCTACTTGTATAATAAAATAATATTTTGGATCTATTAGGTTAATATTTTGGGTCTGTTGGGTTAATAATATTTTGGGTCCATTGGGTTAACTTAAATTAATTTTATCTGTTTCTTGTTAGCTTTTTAATTTGGATACTAGCAAGTTTGAAAGAATGCATGTGGTTTGCATTATGTTTCTATAGGACAGAACTTACCTGTAGATGTAAGGGAGTCACAACAAAATTACAAGCATTGTTTTTGGTGGAAATGAGAAAAATGATTACAAATTTACATGGAAAAGCAAATAGCCAATAATAATAATAATGGCAATCTTAAAGAGGAAGGAGAAATTAGAGGATTCAGGCTGCCAAATTTTAAGGGGTTCTATAAGGCCACATAAAGTGCAGCATCCTCATGAGAGTGGACACAGAGAGCCACTGAGCAGAAAAGAGTGTGTAAAATACATCTGTGTACACACAGTCCTTTTATAGTTGACAGAGGCTGCCATGCGGATTAAGGTGGAATAGAATGTCTTCTCAGTAAATAACATTGGACCAGAGGGTTACAAGCAGGAAAAAATAAATCTAAGCTTATTTTCACACCATAAAAACACTGCTAATTTTTTATCTTATTATCATACATTTTGATGATTTATTTATAAAATTGATGAATGAAAATTATATACAGTTGTCCTTCACTATTCATGGGTGATTGGTTCCAGGAAACCCCCCTCCCTACCAGACACCAAAATCTGCAGATGCTCAAGCCTGTTGCATGAAATGGCACAGCGTTTGCATATAACCCATGCACATCCTCCTGTATACATGAAATCATCTCTAGATTACTTATAATTCCTGATACAGCCTACACACCACCTCACTTGTGTCCACACAATATAGTATTTTTGCTTTTTGGAACTTTGTGGATTTTTTCTCTGAATATTTTTGATTTATATTTGGTTCAATAAACACCTGTAAACCCCACAGATATGGAGGAGCGACTGTATATTTATAGTATGAAAGATGATGTGTTGACATGTGTCCCTGTGGAGATGAGACTAACAAGGCCTATGACTCTACAAATGTTTCATCTTGGAATGACTCTGCCAGCTTTCCAGGTCTGCAGAGAGTAAGAATATCACTTGTTCATGTGATTCACGATCCTTGGAACCTCCTATGTGCTGCATCTTTGGATGGAAATTGGAGTCCCAGAGACAAATGAGGCTCCACCCTGCTTCCAGAAGCTCAGAGTCCAGGGCTGAGAACCCAGTAGAGAACATATCAGGTTATATGGACATAGTAATGATAACACTGGAAACTTTTGGCGAATAAAGAGTCACATTATCGAAACCATGAGGGCAGACATGTTTATTTGAAGAGGAGAGAGCTACACTGAAGTTATAAAAAAAATTTATAAATTTTACTGATGACAGAAGGCTGAAAGATAGTCTGAGGGGAGGTGGAACAGCATGAGGGAAGGTGGAACAGCAAGTGTGTAAGTGCCGTGTTAAGAGGGAGCCTCTTGCATGTTTGGAATTGTGAGTTCCTCAGTGTGATTGCAGCCTCAAGTAGGACTAGGAAGTAAGCCAGTTAGGTTGGAGAGGTGGGCAGGGGTCAAGTGAAATAGATACTTGTGGGCTAAGCAAAGGAGTGTGTTTTCTCTGCAGCAGGCAGTGGCGACCTTAGGCATTTGTAAGCAAGAGAGAGGCATGTTCAGATTCGTGGTGTGAGGAAGAGCGATCCCCTAAGATGCAGACTGATGCCTTCAGATTCCAGCTGCTGGTTCATTGGATCTGGCAACCTGGTTTTGAGACAGGGCTGTTGTCTCCCTAGAAAACCCCCTCAAGACCTGACTGTGGTGCTCGTGGGCAGGAGACAACTTTGGATCTGGGCTCAGCATTTGGAAGTTCCGTGTACACGCTGGTATCTGTTAGGGGTGTCTTGGGCCTCTGAGAAGGGCGACTGATTTTTCTCTGTATGAAAACGCAGTGATCCAACTGTGCGTACGTCACCTCCTGAGGGTCTTGTTCATCAGAGTCCTGGAGAGAGGGAAATGCTGAGTGAGGGAGGGTGCTCACATTTTTCAGGACTATTAGGGATAAGACTGTATCCGTGAGGCTGGGCCGAGGAGGACCTACCTGCCTATTCACTGTTCTGTCCCCCGCAGGCTCTTGGTCCATTACAGCAGCATCTGTAGGAGACGGAAGTCATCAAAACCGCTTGGAGGGCCCTTCTGGGTCCTCATTTCATGGGCAGACACCAACCCACAGGGGGAGGCTGTAGGTGCCTGAGGCTCTTCAGCTGCCAACATCCAGACTCAGACATTCTATCTCTCTGAGTTCAAGACCCCATCCCATGAAGTGCTCTCAATTGGCATCCCATTGATTCTGTCTCCCACTTTCTGCCTGTCATGGAAGCTTCTGGATGTCAGTGGCTGCAGGGGATGTGAGGATACAGTTCAGAACCAGGCAATGGTCTGTGAGCTGAAGGCAGGGGCAGGTTGTCTGGTGCTCTCTCTAGAAAGCCCTGCCTCTGTGGCTCCTCCCTTGGGCCAGGGACCATCCTGCCAGTGAGGAACACACACCCGCGTGCTCCCATCCTGCTTCCCCACATGGCCCTGAGCTCTCTGGCCTCTGCTTCGTGAGACTTACTCTTTTTGTTGGAGCACCAGCGATAAAGGAGAAAGAAGAGGAGGAGGATGAAGAGGAAGATGACCACTGAGGTCCCAATCAGAACATGCAGGTGTCTGCAGATACCTGGAGGAAGATGGGAATCCAATAAGAAGCTAATCATAGCAGTTCCTCTTTATGGATTGTCTCATTTCTTGATTGACAGGTAACCACATGGAACATCTCCTTAGGACAAGCAGCCTGATGGCGGGAGACCCAGCTTTCTCCTGCTTTCTCAGTTACAGCTCTCATAGAAACCATAGAACATGCTGAGGATACAGCTGCTTTAGTTTAGATGTTTGACCCTTTGAAACCTCACACTGAAATATTGAAATTTAACCCCCAGTGTGGAAGTTTGGGCCTATGGGAAGGTGTTTGAGTCATGGAGGTGGATCCATCATGAATAGATTAATGCTGCCCCACATGATGGGGTTAGCAAGTTCCCCCTCTATTAGTTCCCGGAGGGCTGGTTGTTAAAAAGAGCTTGGAAGCTCCATCGCTCGCCCTCCCCCTTGCTCCCTCTCTTGCCATGTGATCTCTGTGGTCTCTGCACAGACAGACCCTCCTTCCCTTCTGCCAGAGTGGGAGCAGCCTGAGGCCGTCACAGGAAACAGATGCTGGTGCCATGCTTCCAGTACAGCCTGCAGAACTGTGAGGCAAACAAATCTGTTTTCTCTAGAAGTTGCCCAGGCTCTGGGATGCAAGGCTGGTTCAATATATGCAAATCAATAAATGTAATCCATCATATAAACAGAACCAAAGACAAAAACCGGACGATTATCTCAATAGATGCAGAAAAGGCCTTTGACAAAATTCAACAACGCTTCATGCTAAAAACTCTCAATAAATTAGGCATTGATGGGACGTATCTCAAAATAATAAGAGCCATCTATAACAAACCCACAGCCAGTATCATACTGAATGGGCAAAAACTGGAAGCATTCCCTTTGAAAACTGGCACAAGACAGGGATGCCCTCTTTCACCACTCCTATTCAACATAGTGTTGGAAGTTCTGGCCAGGGCAATTAGGCAGGAGAAGGAAATAAAGGGTATTCAATTAGGAAAAGAGGAAGTCAAATTGTCCCTGTTTGCAGATGACATGATTGTATATCTAGAAAACCCCATTGTCTCAGCCCAAAATCTCCTTAAGCTGATAAGCAGCTTCTACAAAGTCTCAGGATACAGAATCAATGTACAAAAATCACAAGCATTCTTATACACCAATAACAGACAAACAGAGAGCCAAATCATGAGTGAACTCCCATTCACAATTGCTTCAAAGAGAATAAAATACCTAGGAATCCAACTTACAAGGGATATGAAGGACCTCTTCAAGGAGAACTACAAACCACTGCTCAATGAAATAAAAGAGGATACAAACAAATGGAAGAACATTCCATGCTCATGGGTAGGAAGAATCAAGATCGTGAAAATGGCCATACTGCCCAAGGTAATTTATAGATTCAATGCCATCCCCATCAAGCTACCAATGACTTTCTTCACAGAATTGGAAAAAACTACCTTAAAGTTCATATGGAATCAAAAAAGAGCCTGCATTGCCAAGTCAATCCTAAGCCAAAAGAACAAAGCTGGAGGCATCATGCTGCCTGACTTCAAACTATACTACAAGGCTACAGTAACCAAAACAGCATGGTACTGGTACCAAAACAGAGATATAGATCAATGGAACAGAATAGAGCCCTCAGAAATAATGCCACATATCTACAACTATGTGATCTTTGACACACCTGAGAAAAACAAGCAATGGGGAAAGGATTCCCTATTTAATAAATGGTGCTGGGAAAACTGGCTAGCCATAGGTAGAAAGCTGAAACTGGATCCCTTCCTTACACCTTATACAAAAATTAATTTGAGATGGATTAAAGACTTAAACGTTAGACCTAAAACCATAAAAACCCTAGAAGAAAACCTAGGCATTACCATTCAGGACATAGGCATGGACAAGGACTTCATGTCTAAAACACCAAAAGCAACGGCAACAAAAGCCAAAATTGACAAACGGGATCTAATTAAACTAAAGAGCTTCTGCACAGCAAAAGAAACTACCATCAGAGTGAACAGACAACCTACAAAATGGGAGAAAATTTTCGCAACCTACTCATCTGACAAAGGGCTAATATCCAGAATCTACAATGAACTCAAACAAATTTACAAGAAAAAAACAAACAATCCTATCAAAAAGTGGGCAAAGGACATGAACAGACACTTCTCAAAAGAAGACATTTATGCAGCCAAAAAACACATGAAAAAATGCTCACCATGACTGGCCATCAGAGAAATGCAAATCAAAACCACAATGAGATACCATCTCACACCAGTTAGAATGGCGATCATTAAAAAGTCGGGAAACAACAGGTGCTGGAGAGGATGTGGAGAAATAGGAACACTTTTACACTGTTGGTGGGACTGTAAACTAGTTCAACCATTGTGGAAGTCAGTGTGGCGATTCCTCAGGGATCTAGAGCTTGAAATACCATTTGACCCAGCCATCCCATTACTGGGTATAAACCCAAAGGACTATAAATCATGCTGCTATAAAGACACATGGACACGTATGTTTATTGTGGCACTATTCACAATAGCAAAGACTTGGAACCAACCCAAATGTCCAACAATGATAGACTGGATGAAGAAAATGTGGCACATATACACCATGGAATACTATGCAGCCATAAAAAATGATGAGTTCATGTCCTTTGCAGGGACATGGATGAAATTGGAAATCATCATTCTCAGTAGACTATCACAAGGACAAAAATCCAAACACTGCATGTTCTCACTTATAGGTGGGAATTGAACAATGAGAACACATGGACACAGGAAGGGGAACATCACACTCTGGGGACTGTTGTGGGGTGGGGGGAGGGGGGAGGGATAGCATTAGGAGATATACCTAATGCTAAATGACGAGTTGATGGGTGCAGCACACCAGCATGGCACATGTATACATATGTAACTAACCTGCACATTGTGCACATGTACCCTAAAACTTAAAGTATAATAATAATAAAAATTTAAAAAAAAAGCTCATCAGAAGCACTATACAAAAAAAAAAAAAAAAAAAAGAAGTAACCCAGGCTCAAGTGTTCTTTTATAGCAACAAAAATGGACTAAGACAGCAACGTCCTGAGATCAGGAGGAACGTCTCAGAACAGCCTGTGCTGTCTTCCTGTTCTTCCTGGAGGAGGACGTCATGCAGTGCTTTAGCTGAGTGCTTCCTGTGGCTTCAGGGTACAAAACCCAGGCTGGGCTATTTTCTGGCTTCCCCCAGATACACTGCAAATGAGGTGACTCCATATGTCCCGAGAAGCTTTTCTGAGCCTTGAGGGACTGGCTCACATTGAAATGTAGGCTTCTGTTGTCACTCGCTGCTTATCTGTTAGTAATGAACCTGCCTATGTAACGTATTCTCTGTGTGTTCTGTCTCCCTGGAGTGACGGTGAGTGATAGAAATTTGCATAGGCCCAGGTGCAGTACAGCAGGTGTTTAGAGTCTTCTCTGGAAAGACTGAACTGGGATTGATACACAGTGAATGTGCTTTACAGTTTCTACATCCACAACCCTCTTGACTCAAATTACATTCTCCAAGAAAAGGACACAAAAGTGAAATCAAGATCAAAAAAGCAAAGTAGAATTCTCTTATGTCAAACAGCCAGGAAATAATGATGAAGCCCATGTGAAACGTGCTACTCTTTGTGATCTCGCGAGACACATGTTAGGCTGCTGTTCCACCTGAGAGGCTGGGGGAAAGACCACCCCCTCCACCATCTATTGCTTCAAAACCACCTGTCCTCCTGTGAATTAGTAGGAAAGGGGAGCAGGAGCTAGTGCTGGTGCTGATCTCTGATTCCAAGATCTGAACTCACTCCAAGGAGTATTAGCGTTTACCTCCCCATGATCTATCTGTATCTCCACAGGTGATTGGAAGTAGGGGTGAGGTGGGGGATTTGGGTGAGGGGGCAAGTTTCTTGTGATGAACAGAGCACTTTCCCTATTTCAGGGCCTGTGCTGGTGGGTTCAGGGGGCTTTCATATTTTCCATATGATCTCATGTTCACAGAAAGCCAAATATGGAAGAGGTTTTAGGCTGATTTTCTAATGGATAAGATAAAGGATCAAAGAAGTAATTATAGAGAAATAGAAAAATGATGATTGGAATTCAGGTGCCTGCATCATTTGTGTATATTATTATATTTATGTATTTTTTATTTTTATTTTTTGAGCCAGAGTATCCCTGTGTAGCCCAGGCTGGTGTGCAGTGACGCGATCTCCACTCACTGCAACCTCTGCCTCCAGGGCTGAAGTCATTCTCCTGCTTCCTCCTCCAGAGTAGCTGGGATTACAGTCATGCACCACCATCATGCCTGTTTAATTTTTGTATTTTTAGTAGAGATAGGGTTTCTCCATGTTGGCCAGGCTGGTCTCGAACTCCTGACTTCATGTGATCCACCCGCGTTGGCCTCCTGAAGTGCTGGGTTACAGGCGTGAGCCACCGTTCACAGCCTTGTATATTATGCTATACTAGGTCCCTTCATTTGCACCACCCCTCATCTAGCTCTCCCTCCTCTGCCAGGTATTGATTTAGATGCAGGAGAAATAAATCTCAGAAATAAGTTAGTGAAGCGAGGATTAAACTACCAGGAAAAAATCAAACCCAGCAAGCCTTTCCAGCCAATGATTCTACCTCACAAACATATCTTATACCCATCTACTTCATTCATTTAGTGTCTAAATCAGCACCACATTTCACCAGTGGGGCGGGAATTGCCTTTTCCACGGTCTCCTAGATTCCAGTTACGCACCTGGGCCTCCCTTATTTTCATGTCAGTCATATTAATCATGTAGGGATTCCTGGTTACCCCGAGGTGAGTCCAATGGCTGTGAGTGTCAAACACACACTCCTTGTTGCTCCTTAGTTTCCTGTGTACCCAGTGTGCTCTCCGTCTCTCTACAGTCGTCTTGTCATTCTCCCCACGTCATTCCCAGCATTTGAGGCAGAGCCTCTTCCTTCAACATCAGATTATTTTCACCTTTGTGCCTTCACGGCTGACAGCTGTGTGTGCAAAATCCTTCCGCCCATCTTTCAGGGGTTCAATCCGTGTTTTTCATTAATGTCACAAATATCTGATTAGTGAGAACTTCTCTGTCACCTGAAATCATACACTCAGCATTATCTATTATTGATTTGAAAATTTGGCTTGGCCCCGTGGCTCATGCCTCTTATCCCAGCGTGTTGGGAGGCAGAGGCTATTGGATCACCTGAGGTTGGGAATTTGAGACCAGCCTGGCCAACATGGTGAAACATCCTCTCTACAGAAAATATGCAAAAAGAGTTAGCCGGGCGTGGTGGTTGTGGTCTGTAATCCCAGCTACTGGAGAGGCTGAGGGAGGAGATCAGTTCAGCCCAGGAGGTGGAGGTTGCAGTGAGCCGAGATCATGCCACCGCACTCTAGCCTGGACGACAGAGCAAGGCTCCGTCTCAATAAACAAGTAGGTAAATACATAAATAAATAGATTTCATGCACAGATGCTTCTCAATAGATCATTCATTTATTGGTCCCCTTGTGCCTACATTTTCTGCCCTCCCATTTAACCATCTGCAAGATCAGTGTCCCAAGAACAGAGGCCAAATGCATCTTGTTCACTGTTTGTGGAAGGCAGGAGAATGTTGTCCCACCCCAAAAATGTCCATGTCCTAGCCTCCATAGCTTGTGAATATGTTATTTTACATGAAAGGAGGAATGAAGATTGCAGATGGAATTATGGTTGCTAGTCAGCTGAACTTAAAAGGAGGGTATCCTGGATGATTTCCGGGAGATTATGATGGATTTTCATCTTGGTGAACCCAATAGAATCCCCAAGTTTTCAAAAGAAGGGGAAGAAGGGAGAGCAGCATTCAGAGAAAGAGGTGTGGTAAGGAAGAAGGGTCTGAGTGATGCCATGTGAGATGTGACCAGTCTTTGTGGGCTTTGAGGAAGGAGGAAGGGTACCAGGAGCCAAGGAACATGGGAGCCTCTAGAAGCTGAGAAAAGTGAGAAGCAGATTCTTGCCTGGAACCCTCAGAGGGAAGGCAGCCTTGCTGTCACCTTGATTTTAGCCCAGTGACATGCACGTCATGCTTTGAGCTACAGCACTGTAAGATAATTAAATAACCGTTTTGTTTTCACCCACGAATCTTGTGGAAATTTGTTATGGCAACAATAGGAAAAGCTTCCACACTGCACAGCCTGAGCATGGGGCTGTGGCTGAATGAGTCAGTGAGTCGAAGTGTGCGTGCATGAGCTCTGTTCTCTGTTACGGCAAGGCTCTTGCTCTGCTGAGTCAGCCAGGGTTGCCTGATGACCAACAGTAATTCATTCCTTGGCAAGTGGAACTTCTCTAAAACACCCACCCTCATCAGATGTTCCCTTCCCTTCCCTCTCTCAAGCCCCCGGGAATTTATCCTCCAGTTAGGAATGCAGGCAGAAAAAACACTGCATTTTTCCTGAGAAGGATGTCAGATTGGCAATTATTCTTCTAGCTTGTAGGAGGTCTCACCTGCAGGAAATTAAAGGTAAAGAGACTTCGCTGAGCCCTTTGGTGGCCCTAGATCCCTTTCACTGTTGGAGTGTCTGGAGTTCAGAGATGGTGGAAGACAGGCCCTCATTCACAGAGCTGGGAGGTTTGAGCCAACACTTGCATCCAAGGCTTCCACCTCCCCAGGTTTCCAAAAGCAGAGATAAGAGGGGTCCTTTACTCACCAGATTTGGAGCTTGGTTCTGTGGGTGAAGGCCAACTACTTGAAGGGTTTCCTAGAACACGGGACAGGAGAGATGTGAGGAAATGAGGGTGCTTGTCCTCTACTCAATGGAAATCTTTGAGGTTGGTTCATGGCCAACACTCTGTTATCTAATGTTGGACCCTGGGAGTCTTGGGATCCTCTTCTCCATAATTTTTGTGTGCGATGCCCACTGTCTTGAGACTTGAAGGTATAAAGAGAAAACAGGAGCATCACACTACCTGACTTAGAAATATGTTACAGAGCTGTAGTAAGCAAAACAGCATGACATTGGCATAAAGAAAGGCACATAAAAAATGGAACAGAATGGAGAACACAGATATAATCCATGCATTTACATCCAATGGCTTTCTTTTGTGTGTGTGTGATGGAATCTTGCTCTGTCATGCAGGCTGGAGTGTAGAGGTGCAATCTCAGCTCAATGCAACCTCCACTTCCTGGATTCAAGAAATTCTCTTGCTTCAAACTCCTGAGTAGTGGTATTACAGGCACTGATCACCATGCTCAGCTAATTTTTGTATTTTTAGTAGAGACGAGGTTTCACTCTGTTGGCCAGCCTGGTCTTGAACTCCTGGCTTTAGGTGATCCACCCGCCTCGGCCTCCCAAAGTGCTGGAATTGCAGGTGTGAGCCACCATGCCCAGCCCATTTAATGGACTTTGACAAAGGTGCCGAGAACTTACAATCAAGAAAGGACAGTCTTCAATAAATGGTGTGGGGAAAACTGGATATCTACATGCAGAGGAATAAAACTGCATCTATACCTGTCACCTTACACAAAAATCAAATGAAAATGGATTAAAAACATGAGTCTAAGGCCTGAACCTATGAAACATGTAGAAGAAAATAATGGGGAAGACATTTGTCTGACGAAAGACATTTTGTTTAAAACCTTCAAAACACAAGTAATCAAAGCAAAAAATAGACCATTAGGATTACATCAAACCAAGCAACTTCTGCACCACCAAAGATAAACCAACAAAGTGAAGAGACAACCCACAAAATAGGAGCAAATATTTGCAAACTATTCATCTGAGATGGGATTAATAACTGGAAATATAAGAAGCTCAAACAACTCAATAAAACAATTTAATTAAAAAACGAGCAAAAGACATGAGGAGACATTTCTCCACAAACAAAACATAGAAATGGCGATCACGTATATGAAAAAGTGCTCAGCATCACTCATCATCACAGAAATGTAAATTACAATCGCGATGAGTTTTCATCTCATCCCATTAAAATGCCTTTTAGGCCGGTGGCTCACGCCTGTAATTCCAGCACTTTGGGAGGCGGAGGTGGGCGGATCACCTGAGGTCGGGAGACCAGCCTGACCAACATGGAGAAACTCCCTCTCTACTAAACATACAAAAATTAGCTAGGCGTGGTGGCACATGCCTGTAATCCCAGCTACTTTGGAGGCTGAGGCAGGAGAATCAGTTGAACGCGGGAGGCAGAGGTTGCAGTGAGCCGAGATCACACCCTTGCACTCCAGCCTGGGCGACTATGAGTGAAACTCCATCTCAACATAAATAAATAAATAAATAAATAAAGTAAAATGGCTTTTATCTGCAAGACAGGCAAAACAAATGCTGGCAAGATGGTAGAGAAAGGAGAACCCTGGTACCCTGTTGGTAGGAATGTAAATTAGTACAACTATTATGGAGAAAAGTATGGAAAAACTTTAAAAAACTAAAAGGAGGCTGGGCATAGTGGCTTATGCCTGTAACTTCAGCACTTTGGGAAACCGAGGCAGGCACCTCACTTGAGGTCAGGAGTTTGAGAGCAGCCTGCCCAAAATTGGGATATCCCGTCTGTGCTAAAAAATACAAGAATTAGTCAGGCATGGTGGCGTGCACCTGTAATCACAGCTATTAGGGAGGCTGAGTCAGGAGAATCGTTTGAACCTAGGAAGCAGAGGTTGCAATGAGCCAAGATCGCACCACTTTGACTCCAGCTTGGACTAAGGAGGGAAACTCTTTCTCAAAAAAGAAAAAAAAAAAAGAGAACTTTCATAGTGTCCAGCAATTTCACTACTGGGTTTATATCCAAAGGAAAGGACATCAGTGTATCGAAGTGATATCTGCACTCATATGACTGTTCCAGCACTGTTCACAGTAGCCAAGATGTGGAGTCAACCTACCTGCCTATCAGTGGGTGAATGGATAGAGAACTGTAGTACACACACACGGTGGAGACTACTCATCCATAGAAACAATAACATCCTGTCATTTGCAGCCACATGGATGGAACTGGAGGTCATTACAAAGATTCCCATTTCTCACCACATGCAGGAGATAAAAGGTGGATCTCATGAAGGTAGAGAATAGAATGGTGGATACCAGAGGCCAGGAAGGGAAGGGTGGAGGGTAACAAAAAAAAGAATATAGATGTATTTATTTATTTAGAAACAGAGTCTCTCTCTGTCTCCCAGGCTGCAGTGCAGTGGCATGATCTCGGCTCAGTGCAACCTCTGCCTCCTGGCTTTAAGTGCTTCTCCTGCCTCAGCCTCCCAAGTAGCTAGGACTACAGGTGCATGCCGGCATGCTTGGCTAATTTTTCTTGTCTGTTTAGTAAAGATGAATTTCCCGCATGTTGGCCAGGCTGATCTCGAGTCCCTGATCTTAAATGATCCACCTTTCTTGGCCTCTCAAAGCGCCAAGATTACAACCGTGAACCACCACACCCAGCATATAAAGGTATTTATGACCACTAGATTTTACTTTTAAAAATGGTAAAGTTGGTAAATTATATAGTTACATTTAACCTCAATAAATATTTTTGAAAATGAAAAGAAAAGAGTGTAGGGGTTGCTGGTGATGACATCTCTCTGTGTGGGTGAGAGGCCAGGATGGGCTTCTGGGAAATGGGTAAGGTTGAGGGGCTGAGGGAACCTCTGATCTCCCCAAACTGAGCCCAGTCTCCCCTTCTCTGGGTCTGTCCTGACCGCTTTCTCCATCTGCCTGGGTGCCTGGAGCCCTGACCATGGGCCTCCATGCAGGCCATGCAAGAGGGTTTGGAGGTGCCCTGTCTGCCATCCTGCACCCTGACCCCCCCCTCACACCCAGTCTTCGTGTTCTCTCTGCATCTGTCCATGCTTCTCCCCATCATCGGCAGGAAGCTCCTCAGCTATGGCTCTAGGATCATAAGACATGGGACAGACACGGGTTTTCCTCACCTGTGACAGAAACAAGCAGTGGGTCACTTGAGTTTGACCACACGCAGGGCAGGGCACGGAAAGAGCCGAAGCATCTGTAGGTCCCTCCGTGGGTGGCAGGGCCCAGAGGAAAGTCTGCCTGGAATGTTCTGTTGACCTTGGGCACTGCACGGAGCCTACGTTCATGGGCCTCCCCTTCCCTGGACAGATGGTAGATGTCATAGGAGCTCCAGGAGCTACAGGACAAGGTCACGTTCTCTCCTGCCTGAACCGTGGGGCCCGGCTGGGCTGAGAGAGAAGGTTTCTCATATAGACCTGGAAGGAGAAGAGGCAGTTTCCTCAGGGAGGTTCTTCCTTGTCACAGCTCCCCTCATACCTGAGCTGAGAACTCACTCCCCTGCTCTATGACCTAATGCTCTCTCTCTCTCTCACCCTCCACCCCAACTCTCTTCATGTCTATTTCCTCCTTCCGCCTTCTCTGTCTCTCTAGGTCTCTGACCTCACTTCCCCACCCCTGGGTATGCTTTCCCTTTTTGGATTGTTTTATTCTCTCTGACTCTCCTTGGATTGGTTGACTTGATCTTCCTTTTTCTATAATTCTGAGTCTCTCACTTTCTGTCTTGTTCATAACTTTCTGCATATTTCTATCTATTATCTATCTATTTTGTGTCTATCTACAAATTATCTGTCATCTATATCTATGTATCATTTATCTATCAATTGTCTATCTGTCTATCCATCAATCATCTATGTATTATCTGTATCTATGTATCATCTCTCTCTCTCTCTATTACCTCTCTGTCTGCCTGTCAGTCTCTATGTATCATCTATGTATCTATATATTTATATATGTGTCTTCTATCTATCTATCTTCATCATCATCATCATCATCATCTCTATGTATCATCTATCAATCATCATCTATGTATCTATAACCTATCCATTATCTATCATCTACCTATTTATCATCTATCTATATCTATCTATCCATCTATCATCTGTCTCTCTCCATCTCCTTGTCTTTCTCTGCCTCTCAGTCTCTCTAGTTCTATTTGGAATCTCTGCAATCCATCCCCACATCTTTATCTTTCTCTGTCTTTGTGCCCCTCCCTCAGGGTTCTGATTTTGGGGCTTTTCTCTCCTCCCTTCCAGCATTCTCTCCACTCCTCTGCCCTCTTTTCTTTCTTTTTGTGTGTCTGTGAGTCTCTCAATCCCCTTCCTCTGGCTCATTCTCTGTGTGTTTATGCCTTTGCTTTTTGAAGTCCCTGATTTATCTCTGTGTCTCTCAGTGATCCTATTATATGTAGGATTATTTGGAATATGAGCCTCAGAATCTAGTCTGGGGACACCAAGTACACACAGTATTTAGGGGTTGGTGTTCTGGGGCCATGATATCCTGGGATAATTATGGCTCCACTGCATGGAAGGCAGAGGTGTCAGAATAAACATGGCATCTGTAGATGCCACAAGGCCTGAGGCCACAGGGCCCAACTCAGGTCAGAAATATGGGTGTCCTTGGGTTCTCCTCGTAGAAGCACTTTGTGGAGACAAAACAGAAATGAAACTTCTAACCTGTGCCAGGTCTCTGAGCAAAGTCAGCATGGAAGGACACTTCTCTCTGGCACATGTCTGTCTGTCTGAGTGTCTCCTTTACCTCTTTCTCTCTTTTCTACTTCCCCGTATGGCCCCTGTGTCTGTCCTCTGTTATGACACCTGGTCTGTACTTATGTCTCCTGTTTCCCTGTCTCTGTTGGTACAGACCTCACCGAGTCAGTCTCTCTCCATAAGAATCTCACGCTTATCTTCCTCATGACCACCTGGGGGTTCCAAGTCCTGGATCATTCACTCTGTGTCCCAATGACAATGAGAAGAATGTCTGGACACTCTCACCTGTGATCACGATGTCCAGGGGGTCACTGGGAGCTGACAACTGATAGGGGGAGTGAGGAACAGAACCATAACATCTGTAGGTTCCTGCAAGGACAGGCATCAAGGGACCGATGGAGAAGTTGGCCTTGGAGACCCCATCATGGATCTGTCCAACGAGGTGTGAGGGGTCCTCAGAGATCCCCTCTCTGTGCAGAAAGAAGTGCTCAAACATGACATCTGACCAACATTGCAGGATGACTGTCTCTCCTGATTTCAGCAGGGGCCCTGGGTGGGCCAGGAGGGAAGGTTTTCTGTGGTTTCCTAGAAAGAGAAGTTGTGAGTTTAGAAGGCATCTCTCTTTATCATCCCATCCATGGCACCTGGAATGAGTGAGGGTTCCCCTCCCAGAGGTCTGTCTCTCTCCTCCCTCTCTGTGTCTCCGTGTCTTTTCTGTGCCCATATCCCCTGGTGCAGGTCCCTCCATTTGTCTTCCTCCCTCTTCTCTGTCCCTCTGTCTCCAGTAGCCCCTGACTCCCTTCCCACTGTGAAGAGAGCCTCATCTCTTGGGCTGTTGTATCTCTTTCCCACTAGTCTCTTTCCTGCTGTCTATGTGGGGGTGGAAGAGGACAGGCTGCATGTCCAGGCTCTCAGCAGCCTGAATCAATCTCTTTTGAACAAATTGGAGTCTCTGGCAGAGGTATCAACTCATCAGTAAGGCAGACATCAGTGTCCACACACCCTGTTCCTGATGGGGATTGGGAGCCTCTCCTGCCATGTCTGTGCCTTCTCCATGGCCCCAGCTTCCATAGGGTGGTCCCTGGTGCTGGTTCCAGGAGCATCAACCCCTTCCTATGTGGATGGAGCCTGGTGGTGGCATCAGCATCCCACCCTTGCTGATCCCACGGTAGCCAACCTTCTCCTTGTTTGGTTTCTTTAATTAATTGATTAATTAATTTATTTTTGAGACAGTCACTTTTTCACCCAGGCTGGAGTGCAGTGGTGTTGTCTTGGCTCACTGCAACCTCTGCCTCCCCGGTTCAAGTGATTCTCTTGCCTCAGCCTCCCCAGTCGTTGGATTACTCGTGCCCACCACCACACCTGGCTATCCTTGTTTGGTTTCCTAGCTTGTCCTTGACCTGGGTTCCTGTGTCGGTTTCCTGTTGCTGCTGCAGAAAATTATCACAAACATGGCAGCAGGAGAGAACACACTGACCCCTTCCACTTCTGGGGACAGAAATTGGATCCAGTTCTCCCTGTGCTGAAATCAAGGCATCTGCAGGGCTGCGTTCCCTCTGGAGACTCAGCGAATCAGTTCTCTTGACTTCTCCAGCCCTTAGAGGCCACCTGCATTCTGTGACTAGTGGCCTTCCTCCACCTTCAAAGCCCACAGTGGCTGATAGCGTCTCCCTCCCACTACACTGCTCTAATCCCCACTCCCCTCTTCCTCCACCTCTCACGCGGACCCTTGTGATTACACTGAGCCCAGCAGGACAGTCCAGGCTGTCTCCCCATCTCAAGGTCAACTCATCAACAACCTGAGCTCCACCTTCCCCTTCAGTCCCCTGCCCTATAACATAAATAGTCACAGGCTCCAGGGTTTACAATGTAGCCATCATTGGCGACAGTTATTCTTCCCACCACAGCGCCCATTTCCCCTGTATTCAATCCCCCTTGACCCCAAATACAGTTGGGGCCTGGGTGATGGGACCCTGATGGACACCCCCACCAGAAGCTCTGGGATTCAGGAGGTGGGACAGTGAGAAGCCCAGACAGAAAGCCTCTGACCTGTGACCATGATCACCACGGGGTTGCTGGGTGCCGACCACCCAGTGAGGGAGTGTGGGCGTGAACCCCGACATCTGTAGGTCCCTGCATGTGCTGGGGTCACAGGGCCCATGATGAAGCTCTCCTGGAATATTCTGCCGTGGAAGATGGGAACGTGGCTTCTGTCTTCTTTGTACAGCATGAAATTGTTAAACCCACGACGATAGTGACACTGAAGAGCCACGTGTCCTCCTCGAGGCACCACAGTGCTGGGCCGGGCAGACAGGAAGGGTTTGTCCTGACCACCTGGGGGAGAAGGAGGCACTGCCTTAGAGAGGAGGATGTGGAGCCACCCCTCCCTCCCTGTGCTCAGAAGATTCTCCCATTTCCGCTTTCTAAGGCTCCTACCACACCTGGGTGCCCAGGGCTACAGGAAGGACCCACCCCACATAGACATGGCGTCTCCCTACAACAAGTGTCAGCTGAGAACTTTGAGCAAGTGCTGAATAAGTGACTCTTACTAGATTTTAATACTGCAAAATTACTCACATAAAACAACACAAAGTAGACACGGCATGGAGGGCATGTCCTATGTGAGTGGAATATCAGCCAATTCATGAACTGAGCCCCCTCAGAGGATTTGGAATGTCAGGGCCATGGCTGTGGTTTCCCCCCTCTTCTGGTAGAAAGACCGCAGCCACACTGCAGCCCCTACCGTCACGGAAACGCTGGAGGGTGTCAGTTATACCTTTGTCCTCAGAGGACCTGCTGTTCCTAGCACTGCTTCCCTCTCTTTCTCTGCTGCTGACACCACTTCCTCCCTGCACACCCCAGCTTGGAGCACCCCAGTCTCACCCCAGTCTTCACAGAGCTTGACTCAGGAAAGGGAAAGAAAGGCCAGGGAGGGCGAGGTCAGAAATGTGGGCCGAGTATCCAAGGGTCCCCTCTTCCTAGTTTATGAGAGACTCCCCGACAGGACTTCCCTCCTGTTTCAGAAAAATCCTCTTATGTGGGGAGATGACACCCTAAGGTTTGGGGACGGACTCACCCATGAGTGGCCAGGCCCCCTGCAGCAAGAAGAACCCTGGAAAGAAAGATCATGATAGACGATCCAACTGCAGGCAAACCAGGGCACCCTGCTGCCCCCACTGCACTGTGTGTCTTGGCAGCCAGGCCCTTGCTGGGCTGAAGGTAAACTTAGCCTCCCTGCTACCTGCTGCCAAGAACAGGGCTCTCAGCTGTGGAGAGACCCAGGCTCCAGGCCCAGATCAACACTTCCTGGCCCAGATCTCCACTCCAGGCCCATATCTCCACTCCAGGCCCCTATCTCCACTCCAGGCCCATATCTCCACTCCAGGCCCATATCTCCACATCAGACCCATATCTCCACTCCAGGCCCAGATCTCCCCTCTAGGCCCATATCTCCACTCCAGGCCCATATCTCCACTCCAGGCCCATATCTCCACATCAGACCCATATCTCCACTCCAGGCCCATATCTCCACTCCAGGCCCAGATCTCCACCTGCAGGCCCATATCTCCACTCCAGGCCCATATCTCCACTCCAGGCCCGTATCTCCACTCCAGGCCCATATCTCCACACCCAGGCCCATATCTCCCCTCCAGGCCCATATCTCCACTCCAGGCCCATATTTACACCTCCAGGCCCATATCTCCACACCCAGGCCCATATCTCCACTCCAGGCCCATATCTCCACTCCAGGCCCATATCTTTACCTCTAGGCCGAGATCTCCATCCCCACTCTCCCTCCCTCTATTCCCTTCCAGGACTCACCAACGCACGCCATGCTGACGACCGTGAGCGACATGGTGCTGCCGGTGCAGACAGGAGGCCGCGCCCCAGCTCAGCTCAGCAGCGCACAGGATGTTATTTGGCGCCCTGCCCATGCAGTTTACATGTTGACCACATCATGGGAGGGTGACGTACGCAGGCTCTTTCTACCTTGCATGAGGCCCAGTGGGTGCTCGCTCAAGAGCGGAACATGGCTTCCTGGAAATTGTTGTGACTACAATTGCCACCTTGCATCCTTCACTATGACCAGACTCAAAAGACGTCTCAGATCCAACCTCTCACACATGAGGTGATTGAATTCTGTGCTTACATTAAAGACTTTTGATGTATTTTTGTTTTTATCTGAGATTCAAACTTTTCTTCATGTGTAATGTGCAAAATATCTAAGAGGTATTATTAACATTATCAGAGTAATTGTGACAAAAAGCCATTCTAATTTTCCTGATGAGTTTCTAGTACTAAACCTGAGGCACGAGAATTGCTTGAACCTGGGAGGCGGAGGCTGCAGTGAGCTGAGCTCAAGCCACTGAACTCCAGCTTGGGTGACAGAGGAAGAGTCTGTCTCAAGAAAGAAAAAAAAAAGCAAACTAAATAACCTATAATAACAAATCAGAGAACTCAGGTTACCAAATTTTAAGGGGTTCTATAAGTTTATATGAAATGCAGCATCCTCATGAGAGGGGATACAGAGAACCACTGGGCAGAAAACTGTGTCTAAAATACATCTGTGGATACACAGTCCCTTTATAGTTGACAAAGGCTGCCATGTAGTTTAAGGTGGAATAGAATATTTTCTCAACAAATAACACAGGACCATAGGGTTACACGTAGGAAAAAATAAATCTAAACTTATCCTCACACTATAAAGACACTTCTTATTTTTTATCTTGTTGTTGTAAACTTTTTATGCTTTATTTTTAAGATTGACAAATAAAAATTATATACTGTGGTCCTTCACTATTCCTGGGTGATTGGTTCCAGGATCCCCATTCAGATACCAAAATCTGCAGATGCTCAAGCCCCTTGCATGAAATGGCATAGCGAAGCTGGGCACCGTGGCTCACGCCTGTAATCCCAGCACTTTGGGAGGCTGAGTTGGGTAGATCACGAGGTCAGGAGTTCAAGACCAGCTGGTCCAACATTCTGAAACCCCGTCTCTACTAAAAATACACACACAAAAAAATTTATCTGTGCATGGTGGCACGTGCCTGTAATCCTAGGGGAGGCTACTGGGGAGGCTGAGGGAAGACAATCGCTTGAACCTGGGAGGCGGAGGTTGCAGTGAGCTGAGATCATGCCACTGCACTCCAGCCTGGGTGAGAGAGTGAGACTGTCTCAAAAAAAAAAAAAAAATAGCATAGCAATTGCATAGAACCCATGCACATCCTCCTGTATACATGAAATCATCCCTTGATTACTTATAATTCCTGACACAGCCTACACGCCACTCAATTTGTGTCGATTCAACATAGTTTTTTGCTTCTTGAAACTTCGGGGATTTTTTTCTGAAAATATTTTTGATTTATTGTTGGTTCAATAAACACCTGTAAACCCCACAGATATGGAGGACCGACTGTATATTTATATTATGAAAGATGATATGTTGATATGTGTCCCCGTGGAGATGAGACTAACAAGGCCTATGACTCTACAAATGTTTCATCGTGGAATGACTCTGCCAGCTTTCCAGGTCTGCAGAGAGTAAGAATATCACTTGTTCATGTGATTCACGATCCTTGGAGCCTCCTATGTGCTGTATCTTTGGATGGAAATTGGAGTCTCAGAGACAAATCAGGCTCCATTCTGCTTCCAGAAGCCCAGAGTCCAGGGCTGAGAACCCAATGGAGAACAGATGGGGTTATGTGGACATGGTAATGATAACACCGGAAGCCTTAGGCAAGAAAAGAGTCTCGTTACCGAAACCATGAGGGCAGACATGTTTATTTGAAGGCGGGAAAACTACATTGAAATTATTTAAAAAATTTATAAGTTTTACTGCTGGCAGAAGGCTGAAAGATAGTCTGAAGGGAGGTGGAACAGCACGTGTCTAAGTGCTGTGTTAAGAGGCAGCCTCTTGTATGTTTGGAATTGTGAGTTCCTCAGTGTGATTGCAGCCTCAGGTAGACTAGGAAGTAAGCCAGTTAGGTTGGAGAGGTGGGCAGGGGTCAAGTGAAATGGAGAATTGTGGGCTAAGCAAAGGAGTGTGTTTTCTCTCCAGCAGGCAGTGGGGACCTTAGACATTTGTAAGCAAGAGAGAGGCATGTTCAGATTCGTGGTGTGAGGAAGAGCGATGCCCTAAGATGAAGACTGATGCCTTCAGATTCCAGCTGCTGGTACATGGGAGCTGGCAACCCGGTTTTGAGACAGGGCTGTTGTCTCCCTAGAAGATCCCCTCAAGGCCTGACTGTGGTGCTCGTGGACAGAAGACAACTTTGGATCTGGGCTCAGCATTTGGAAGTTCTATGTACATGCTGGTATCTGTTGGGGGTGTCTTGGGCCTCTCAGAAGGGCGAGTGATTTTTCTCTGTGTGAAAACACAGTGATCCAATTATGCGTATGACACCTCCTGATGGTCTTGTTCATCAGAATCCTGGAGAGAGGGAAATGCTGAGTGAGGGAGGGTGCTCACATTTTTCAGGACTCTTTGGGAATAAGACTAGCCACGAGGCTGGGCCGAGGAGCACCTACCTCGCTGTTCACTGTTCTGTTCCCTGCAGGCTCTTGGTCCATTACAGCAGCATCTGTAGAAGACGGAAGTCAACAAAAGAGCTCGGAGGGCACTTCTGGGTCCTCATTTCATAAGCAGATACCAACAAACAGGGGGAGGCCATAGGTGCCTGAGGTCCCTCAGTTGCCAACAGCAGACTCAGACATTCTATCTCTCTGAGTTCAAGGACCCATCCCATGAATAGCTCTGAGGTCCCATCCCATTGATTCTATCTCCCACTTTCTGCCTGTCATGGAACCTTCTCCTGGATGTGAGTGGCTGCAGGGGACGTGAGGATACAGTTCAGAATCAGGCAATGGTCTGTGAGCTGAAGGCAGGGGAAGGGAATCTGGTGCTCTCTCTAGAAAGTCCTGCCTCTGTGGCTCCTGTCTTGGGCCAGGGACCATCCTGCTGGTGAGGAACACACATCCACGTGCTCCCATCCTGCTTCCCCACATGGCCCTGAGCTCTCTGGCCTCTGCTTCGTGAGACTTACTTTTTTTGTCGGAGCACCAGCGATGAAGGAGAAAGAAGAGGAGGATGGTGAAAGGGATTTTGACCACTGAGGTCCCAATCAGAACATGTAGGTGTCTGGGGTTACCTGGAAGAAGAGGAGACACCAATAAGAAGCTAATCATAGCAGTTCCTCTTTATGAATTGTCTCGCATTTCTTGATTGGCAGGTAACCACATACAACGTCTCTTTAGGACAAGCACCCAAATGGCGGGAGACCTAGCTTTCCCCTGCTTTCTCAATTATAGCTCTCATAGTAACCATAGAACGTGCTGAGGATACAACTACTTTAGTTGAGATGTTTGACCCTTTCAAACCTCACATTGAAATTTCACCCCCCATTGTGGGAGGTTGGGCCTCTTCAGAGGTGTTTGGGTCATGGAGGTGGATCCATCATGAACAGATCAATGCTGTCCCAAGGAGACGGGGTTAGCAAGTTCCCCCTCTGTTAGTTCCTGGAGAGCTGGTTGTTAAAAAGAGCTTGGAAGCTCCATCGCTCCCTCTCCCCCTTACTCTCTCTCTTGCCGTGTGATCTCTGCGGTCTCTGCACAGACAGACCCTCCTTCCCTTCTGCCAGAGTGGGAGCAGCCTGAGGCCGTCACGAGAAATAGATTCTGGTGCCATGCTTCCAGTACAGCCTGCAGAACTGTGAGGCAAACCAATCTCTTTTCTTTAGAAGTTACCCAGGCTCAAGTGTTCCTTTAGAGCAACAAAAATGGACTAAGATAGCAACATCCTGAGATCAGGAGGAATGTCTCAGAACAGCCTGGGCTGTCTTCCTGTTCTTCCTGGAGGAGGACGTCATGCAGTGCTTTAGCTGAGTGCTTCCTGTGGCTCCAGGGTACAAAACCCAGGCTGGGCTGCTTTCTGGCTTCCCCCAGCTACACTGCAAATGGGGTGACTCCATATGTCCCGAGCAGCTTTTCTGAGCCTTGAGGGACTGGCTCACATTGAAATGCAGGCTTCTGTTGTCACTCGCTGCTTATCTGTTAGTAATGAACCTGCCTATGTAACGTATTCTCTGTGTGTTCTGTCTCCCTGGAGTGACGGTGAGTGATAGGAATTGGCATAGGCCCAGGTGCAGTCCAGGATTTGTTTAGAGTCTTCTCTGGGAAGACTGCACTGGGATTGATACACAGCGAATGTGCTTTAGGATTTCTACATCCACAGCATTCTTGAGTCAAACAAATTGCATTCACCAAGGAAAGGAAACAAAGGTGACATCACGATTAAAAATAGCGAAGCAAGATTCTCTTATGTCAAACAGCCAGGAAATAGTGTTGAAGCCCGTGTGAAATGTGCTACTCTTTGTGATCTCGGGAGACACATGTTAGGTTGCTGTTCTACCCGAGAGGCTGGGGGAAGGACCACCCCCTCGACCATCTATTGCTTCAATACCACCTGTCCTCCTGTGAATTAGTAGGAAAGGGGAACAGGAGCTAGTGCTGTCGCTGATCTCTGATTCCAAGATCTGGACTCACTCCAAGGAGTATTAATGTTTCCTCCCCATGGTCTATCTGAATCTCCACAGGTGATTGGAAGTAGGGGTGAGGTGGGGGATTTGGGTGAGTGGGCAAGTTTTTTTTTGCGATGACCAGAGCACTTTCTCTATTCCAGGATCCGTGCTGGAGGATTCAGCGGGCTTTCACATTTTCTATGTGATCTCATGCTCACAGAAAGCCAAATAGGGAAGAGGTTTTAGGCTCATTGCCTAATGGATAAGATAAAGGATCAAAGAAGTAATTATAGAGAAATAGAAAAATGATGATTGGAATTCAGGTGCCTTTGTCATTCGTGTGTGTTTTATTATATTTATGCATTTCTTATTTTTATTTTTTGAGACGGAGTCTCCTTGTGTCACCCCAGGCTGGAGTGCAGTGATGCAATCTCCACTCACTGCAACCTCCACCTCCTGGGTTGAAGTCATTCTCCTGCTTCATCCTCCAGAGTAGGAGCTGGGATTACAGGGATGCACCACCATGCTCGGCTAATTTTTGTATTTTTAGTACAGATAGGGTTTCACCATGTTGGCCAGGCTGGTCTGGAACTCCTGACTTCATGGAATCCACCCGCCTTGGCCTCCTGCAGTGCTGGGTTACAAGCATGAGCCACCGTTCACAGACTTGTATATTATGCTATGATAGGTCCCTTCATTTCCACCACCCCTCATATATCTGTCACTCCTTTGCCAGGTATTGATTTATGTGTAGGATGAATAAATCTCAGAAAGAAATTAATTAAGCGAGGATTAAACAAGTAGGAAAATCAAACCCAGTAAGCCTTTCCAGTCAATGATTCTACCTCACAAGCATATCTTATATCCATCTACTTCATTCATTTAGTGTCTAAATCAGCACCACATTTCACCAGTGGGGCGGCAATTGCCTTTTCCACGGTCTCCTAGATTCCAGTTACGCACCTGAGCCTCCCTTATTTTCATGTCAGTCATATTAATCATGTAGGGATTCCTGGTTACCCCGAGGTGAATCCAATGGCTGTGAGTGTCAAACACACACTCCTTGTTGCTCCTTAGTTTCCTGTGTACCCAGTGTGCTCTCCGTCTCTCTACAGTCGTCTTGTCATTCTCCCCATCTCATTCCCAGCATTTCAGGCAGAGCCTCTTCCTTCCACATCAGATTGTTTTCAGCTTTCTGCCTTCACGGCTGACAGCTGTGTGTGGAAAATCCTTCCGCCAATCTTTCAGGGGTTCAATCCGTGTTTTTCATTAATGTCACAAATATCTGATTAGTGAGACCTTCTCTGTCACCCAAAATTATACACTCAGCATTATCTATTATTTATTTTGAATTCTGGCTGGGCAAAGTGGCTCACGCCTTTTATCCCAGTACTTTGGGATGCTGAGACGGTTGGATCACTTGAGGTTGGGAGTTTCAGACAAGCTTGGCCAACATGGTGAAACATCCTCTCTACAAAAAATATACAAAAAGAATTAGCCGGGCATGGTGGCAGTTGCCTGTAATCCCAGCTACTCGAGAGGGTGAGGCAGGAGAATCACTTGGATCCAGGAGATGCAGGTTGCAGTGAGCCAAGATCGTGACACTGCACTGTAGCCTGGAAGACAGAGGGAGACTCTGTCTCAATAAACAAACGAACAAACAAACAAATAGATTTCATGCACAGATGCTTCCCAATGGATCATTCATTTATTGGTCCACTTGTGCATTCATTTTCTGTCCTCCCATTTAACCATCTGCAATATCAGTGTCCCAAGAGCAGAGGCCAAATGCATCTTGTTCACCATTTGTGGAAGGCAGGAGAATGCTGTCCCACCCCAAAATGTCCCTGTCCTAGCCTCCATAGCTTGTGAATATGTTATTTTACATGGAAAGGAGGAATGAAGATTGCAGATGGAATTACGGTTGCTAATCAGCTGAACTTAAAACAAGGGTATCCTGAATGATTTCCGGGAGATTATGACGGATTTTCATCTTGGTGAACCCAATAGAATCCCCAAGTTTTCAAAAGATGAGGAAGAAGGGAGAGCAGCATTCAGAGAAAGAGGTGTGGTAAGGAAGAAGGGTCTGAGTGATGCCATGTGAGATGTGACCAGCCTTTGTGGGCTTTGAGGAAGGAGGAAGGGGACCAGCAGCCAAGGAACTGGGAGCCTTTATAAGATGGGACAAGTGAGAAGCAGATTCTTGCCTGGAATCCTCAGAGGGAAGGCAGGCTTGCTGTCATCTTGATTTTAGCCCAGTGAGATGCACTTCATGCTTTGAGCTAGAGCACTGTAAGATAATTAAATAACCGTTTTGTTTTCACCCACGAATCTTGTGGAAATTTGTTATGGCAACAATAGGAAAAGCTTCCACACTGCACAACCTGAGCATGGGGCCATGGCTGAATAAGTCAGTGAGTCGAAGTGTGCGTGCATGAGCTCTGTTCTCTGTTACGGCAAGGCTCTTGCTCTGCTGAGTCAGCCAGGGTTGTTTCATGACCAACAGGAGCTCATTCCTTGGCAAGTGGAACTTCTCTAAAACACCTCGCCCTCATCAGATGTTCGCTTCCCTTCCCTCTCTCAAGCCCCCAGGAATTTATCCTCCAGTTAGGAATGCAAGCAGAACAAACATTGCATTTTTCCTGAGAAGGATGTCAGATTGGCAATCATTCTTCTAGCTTGTAGGAGGTCTCAGCTCCATAAAATGAGAGATGAAGAGATTTCACTGAGCCCTGTGTTGGGCCCAGATCCCTTTCGCTGTTGGAGTATCTGGAGTTCGGAGATGGTAGAAGACAGGCGTACAATGTCAGAGCTGTGAGATGCTGAGTCAACGCCTGAATCCAAGGTTTCCACCTCCCCAGGGTTCCAAAAGCAGATATAAGAGGGTCCTGTACTCACCGGTTTTGGAGCTTGGTTCAGTGGGTGAAGGCCAACTATTTGAAGGGTTTCCTAGAACATGAGACAGGAGAGAGGTGAGGAAATGCGGGTGTCTGTCCTCTACTCAATGGAAATCTTTGAGGATGGTTCATGGCCAACACTCTGTTATCTAACATTGGGCCCTGGGAGTCCAGGGATCCTTTCTTCCATAATTTTTGTATGTGACGCCCACTGTCTTGAGACTTCAAGGTATAAAGAGAAAACAGGAGCATCACACTACCTGATCTCAAAATATGTTACAGAGCTGTAGTAAGCAAAACAGCATGATGTTGGCATGAAGAAAGGCACATAGAACAACGGAGCAGAATGAAGAACACAGATATAATCCATGCATTTACATCCAATTTTTTTTATTTTTTCTTTTGAGATGGAGTCTCGCTCTGTCACCCAGGCTGGAGTGCAGAGGTGCAATCTCGGTTCACTGCAACCTCAGCCTCCTGGGTTCAATCAATTCTCTTGCCTCAAACTCCTGAGTAGTAGTATTACAGGTGCTGACCACCATGCTCAGCTAATTTTTATATTTTTAGTGGAGACGATGTTTCATCACGTCGGCCAGAGTAATCTTGTACTCCTGTCCTCAGGTGATCCACCAGCCTTGGCCTCCCAAAGTGCTGAAGTTGCTGGTGTTAGCCACCATGCCCAGCCCATCCAATGGACTTTGACAAAGGTGCCAAGAACTCACAATCAGGAAAGGACAGTTTTTTCAATAAACAGTGCAGGGAAACCTGGACATCTACATGCAGAGGAATGAAACTGCACCTCTACCTGTCACCATACACAAAAATCAAATGAAAGTGGATTAAAGATGTGAGTCTAAGGCCTGAACCTGTGAAACACGTAGAAGAAAATATTGGGGAAATGCTCCAGGACATTTGTCTGAAGGAAGACATTTTGTTTTAAACCTTCAAAACACAAGTAATTGAAGCAAAAATAGACCATTGGGATTACCTCAAACTAAGCAACTTCTGCACCGCTAAAAATAAACCAACAAAGTGAAGAGACAACCCACAGATTGGGAGCAAATATGTGCAAACTATGCTTCTGAGACGGGATTAGTAACTAGAAGTATAAGAAGCTCAAACAACTCAATAAAACAAATGATTTAATTGAAAAAGGAGCAAAAGACATGAAATTTCCCCACATACGAAAAAGTGCTCAGTATCACTCATCATCAGAGAAACGCGAATTAAAATCAAAGTGAGTTTTCATCTCACCCCATTAAAATGGCTTTTAGGCCGGGCGAGGTGGCTCACGTCTGTCATCCTAGAACTCTGAGAGCCCGAGGTGGGCGAATCTCATAAGGTCGGGAGTTTGAGACCAGTATGACCCACATGGAGAAACGCTGTCTCTACTAAAAATACAAAAATTAGTCGGGCGTGGTGGCGTGTGCCTGTAATTCCAGCTACTCGGGAGGCTGAGGCAGGAGAATCGCTTGAACCTGGGAGGTGGAGGTTGCGGTGAGCCGAGATCGCACCACTGCACTCCAGCCTGGGTGACAAGAGCGAAACTCCATCTCAAAATAAAATGAAATAAAATAAAATGGCTTTTAGCTGCAAGACAGGCAAAACAAATGCTGGCAAGGTGGTAGAGAAAGGAGAACCCTGGTACCCTGTTGGTAGGAGTGTAAATTAGTACAGCCATTACGGAGAAAAGTATGGAAGTCCTTTAAAGAACTAAAAAGAGGTTGGATGAAGTGGATCATGCCTGTAATCCCGGCACTTTGGGAGACCGAGGCGGGCACCTCAGTTGAGGTCATGAGTTTGAGAGCAGCCTAGCCAACCTGGGGAAACCCCATGTACACTAAAAAAAACCAAAAAGTATCCCGGCATGGTGGCGTGCACCTGTAATCCCAGCTACTAGGGAGGCTGAGGCAGGAAAATCATTTGAACCCAGGAGGCGGAGGTTGCAATGAGCCAAGATCACATCACTTGTACTCCAGCCTGGGCACAGAGGGAAACTGTCTCAAAAACAAAAACAAAACAACAAACGAAAAACTAAAAAGAGAACTTTCATAGTATCCAGCAATTTCACTACTGGGTTTATATCCAAAGGAAAGTAAATCAATGTATCGAAGTGATATCTGCACTCGTATGATTGGTGCAGCACTGTTCACAGTAGCCAAGATGTGGAGTCAACCTACCTGCCCATCAGTGGATGAATGGATAGAGAGAATGTAGTACATACGCACAGCGGAGACTACTCATCCATAGAAAGAATAACATCCTGATATTTGCAGCCACATGGATGGAACTGGAAGTCATTACAAATATTCTCATTTCTCACCCATATACAGGAGCTAAAAGGTGGATCTCATGAAGATAGAGAGTAGAATGGTGGCTACCAGAGGCCAGGAAGAAAAGGGTGGAGGATAAAACAAACAAACAAAAAATTTATATGTATGTATTTATGACCACTAGACCTTACACTTAAAATTGGTAAACGTGGCCGGGCGCGGTGGCTCATGCCTGTAATCCCAGCACTTTGGGAGCCTGAGGCGGGTGGATCACGTGGTCAGGAGTTCCAGAGCAGCTCGACCAACATGGTGAAACCCCCTCTCTACTAAAAATACAAAAAGTAGCCTGGCGTGGTGATGGGCGCCTGTAGTACCAGCTACTCAGGTGGCTGAGGCAGGAGAATCGCTTGAACCCAGGAGGCGGAGGTTACAGTGAGCTGAGATTGTGCCACTGCATTCCAGCATAGGAGACAGAGCTAGACTCCACCTCAAAAAAAAAAAATGTTAAAAGTGGTAAGCTATATAGGTATATTTAACCTCAATAAATATTTTTTCAAACAAAAAGAAAAGGATGTAGGGGTTGCTGGTGATGACATCTCTGTGTGGGTGAGAGGCCAGGAAGGGCTTCTGGGAAATGGGTAAGGTTGAGGGGCTGAGGGAACCTCTGATCTCCCCAAACTGAGCCCAGTCTCCCCTTCTCTGGGTCTCTCCTGACCGCTTTCTACATCTGCCTGGGTGCCTGGAGCCCTAATCGGAGGCCTCCATGCAGGCCATGCAGGAGGGTTTGGAGGTGCTGTGTGTGCCATCCTGCGCCCTGATCCCTCCCTCACAGGCATGCTGCGTCTTCTCTCTGCATCTGTCCATGCTTCTCTCCATCATCAGCAGGAAGCTCCTCAGCTAAGGCTCTAGGATCATAGGACATGGGACAGATATGGGGTTTCCTCACCTGTGACGGAAACAAGCAGTGGATCACTCGAGTTTGACCACTCGTAGGGAGCGTCACGGAAAGAGCCGAAGCATCTGTAGGTCCCTCCGTGGGTGGCAGGGCCCAGAGGAAAGTCGGCCTGGAATGTTCCGTTGATGCTGCGCACTGCAGGGAGCCTACGTTCATGGGCCTCCCCCTCCCTGGATAGATGGAGCTGCAGGACAAGGTCACATTCTCTCCTGCCTGAACCGTGGGGCCCGGCTGGGCTGAGAGAGAAGGTTTCTCATATAGACCTGGAAGGAGAAGGGGCAGTTTCCTCAGGGGGGATCTTCCTTGTCACAGCTCCCCTCACACCTGACCTGAGAACTCACTCCCCTGCTCTATGGCCTAATGCTCTCTTTCTCTGTCTCACCCTCCACCCCATCTCTCTTCATGTCTATTTCCTCCTTCCACCTTCTCTGTCTCTGTAGGTCTCTGACCTCACTTCCCTACCTCTAGTTATGTTTTCCGTTTTTGGATTGTTTTATTCTCTCTGGCTCTCCTTGGATTGGTTGACTTGATGTTACTTTTTTTAACTCTGAGTTTCTCAGTTTGTGTCCCGTTCATAACTTTCTGCATATTTCTATCTATTATCTATCAATCCATCTATTTATCTATTCGGTGCCTATCTACAAATTCTCTACCTGTCATCTATATCTATATATCATCTATTTATCTATCAATTGTCTATCCGTCAATCATCTATTATCTATATATATGTATCATCTCTCTCTCTCTATTATTTCTCTCTTTGTCTTCCTCTCTATCTCTATGTATTATCTATCCATCTATCTTCATCATCATCATCTCTATGTATCATCTATTAATGAATCAATCAATCATCATCTATGTATCTATAACCTATTATCTATCATCTACCTATATATCATCTATCTATATCTATCCATCATCTATCTGTATCTATCCATCTATCATCTGTCTTGCTCTGCCTCTCGGTCTCTCTAGTTCTCTTTGGAATCTCTGCAATTCATCCCCACATCTCCATCTTTCTATGCCCTTGTGCCTCACCCTCAGGACTCTAATTTTAGTGGTTTTCTCTGCTCTCTTCCATCATTCTCTCCACTTCTCTGCCCTCTTCTCTCTCTTTATGTGTCTGTGAGTCTCTCAATCTCCTTCCTCTGGCTCTTTCTCTGTGTGTTTATGTCTTTGCTTTTTGGTGTCCCTGATTTCTCTCTGTGCTTCTCAGTGATCCTCTCATATGTGATATGTGGGGTTATTTGGAATGTGAGCCTCAGAATCCAGTCTGGAGACCACAAGTTCACACAGCATACAGGGGTTGGTGTTCTGGGGCCATGATATTTTGGGACGATTATTCTCCATTGCATGGAAGTCAGAGGTGTCAGAATAAGCATGGCATCTGTAGGTGCCACAAGGCCTGAGGCCACAGGGCCCAACTCAGGTCAGAAATATGGGTGTCCTTGGGTTCTCCTGGTAGAGAACACTTTGTGGAGGTAAAACAGAAATGAAACTTCTAACCTGTGCCAGGTCTCTGAGCAAAGTCAGCATGGAAGGACACCTCTGTCTGGGACATGTCTGTCTGTCTCCTTTAACTCTTTCTGTCTTTTCTAACTCCCTGTATGGCCCCTGTGTTTGTCCTCTGTTACGACACCTGGTCTGTACTTGTGTCTCTTGTTTCTCTGTCTCTGTTGGCACAGACCTCACCAAGTCAGTCTCTCTCCATAAGAATACCAAGCTCATCTTCCTTACAACCACCTGGGTCTCCAAGTCCTGGATCATTCACTCTGCATCCCAATGACAATGAGAAGAATGTCTGGACACTCTCACCTATGATCACCATGTCCAGAGGGTCACTGGGAGCTGACAACTGATAGGGGGAGTGAGGAACAGAACCGTAGCATCTGTAGGTTCCTGCAAGGACAGGCATCATGGGACCAATGGAGAAGTTGGCCTTGGAAACCCCATCATGGTGCTCTCCAATGAGGTGCAAAGTGTTGTTAAACTTCCCCTCTCTGTGCAGAAGGAAGTGCTCAAACATGACATCCGACCAACATTGCAGGATGACTGTCTCTTCTGATTTCACCAGGTGACCTGGGAGGGCCAGGAAGGAAGGTTTTCTGTGGACTCCTAGGAAGAGAGGTTGTGAGTTTAGAAGGTGTCTCTCTTTATCATCCCATCCATGGCACCTGGAATGAGTGAGCCTTCCCTTCGCTGGTGTCTGTCTCTCTGCTTCCTCTCTGTGTCTTCATGTTCTTTTCTGTGCCCATAACTCCTGGTGCAGGTCCTTCCATCTGTCTCCCTCCCTCTTCTCTGTCCCTCTGTCTCTAGTAGCTGTGGTTCCCTTCCCACTGGGCTCAGCCTCATCTCTTGGGCTGTTGTATCTATTTCACACTAATGTCTTTCTTACTGTCTATGTGGGAGTGGAAGAGGAAGCAGGATAGGCTGCACGTCCCGGCTCTTAGCAGCCTGGTTCAATCTCTTTTGGACGAATTGGAATCCTTGGCAGGAGGTATGAACTGATCAGTAAGGCAGGCACCAGTGTCCACACACCCTGTTCCTGGTGGGGACTGGGAGCCACTCTTGCCATGTCTGTGCCTTCTCCATGGTGCCAGTTTCCATAGGCTGGCTCCTCGTGCTGATTTGAGGAGTATCAACCCCTCCCTATGTGGATGGAGCCTGGTGGTGGCATCATCATCCCACCCTTGCTGATCTCGGTGTAGCCAACCTTCTCTTTGTTTGGTTTCTTTAATTAATTAATTAATTTTGGAGACAGAGTCTCACTCCTTCGCCCAGGCTGGAGTGAAGTGGTGTGGTCTACGCTCACTGCAACCTCTGTCTCCTGGGTTCAAGCGATTCTCCTGCTCTCAGCCTCCTGAGTCGCTAGGATTACATGCACCTGCCACCATGCCTGGCTATCCTTGTGTCTTTTCTTAACTTGTCCTTGACCTGGGTTCCAGTGTTGGTTTCCTGTTGCTGCTGTAGAAAATTATCAGAAGCATGGCAGCAGGAGAGAGCACACTGACCCCCTCCGATTCTGGAGACAGAAAGCGGACCCTGTTTTTTGAGGGCTAAAATCAAGGCATCTGCAGGGCTGTGTTCCCTCTGGAGACTCAGGAGAATCAGTTACTTGACTTTCCCAGCCTCTATAGGCCACCTGCATTCATGGCTTATGGCCTTCATCCACCTTCAAAGCTGATGGAGTCTCCCACTACGCTGCTCTAATCCCCACTCTCCTCTTCCTCCTCCTTTCATGTGGACACTTGTGATTATACTGAGCCCACCGGGACAGTCCAGGCTGTCTCCCCATCTCAAGGTCAACTCATCAACAACCTGAGCTCCATCTTCCCCTTCAGTCCCTTCCCCTATAACATAAATAGTCACAGACTCCAGGGATTAGAATGCAGTCATCATTGGGGACACTTATTCTTCCCACCACAGCACCCATTTCCCTGTATTCAATCCCCCTTTACCCCAAATACAGTTAGGGCCTGCGTGATGGGACCCTCAAGGACATGCCTACCAGAAGCTCTGGGATTCAGGAGGTGGGACAAGGAGAATCCCAGACAGGAGCCCTCTGACCTGTGACCATGATCACCAGGGGGTTGCTGGGTGCCGACCACCCACTGGGGGAGTGTGTGTGTGAACCCCGGCATCTATAGGTCCCTGCATGTGACGGGGTCACAGGGCCCATGAAAAGGCTTTTCCAGAATATTCTGTTGTACAGCTCAGGGACAGGCACCCCATCATCCTTGTACAGACTGAAGTTGTTAAACCCAAGATTAGAGTGACACTGAAGAGTCACATGTTCTGGAGGCACCACAAGGCTGGGCCAGGTAGAAAGCAAGGGCTTGTCCTGACCACCTTGGGGTGAAGGAGGCGCCGCCTTAGAGAGGAGGATGTGGAGCTGTGCCTCCCTCCCTGTGCTCAGAAGATTCTCCCCACTTTCCACATTTCTATGGCTGCTATCACACCTTGGTGCCTAGGGCTAAAGGAAGGACCCATCCCACAAAGACAAGGTGTCTCCGTACAACAAAAGTGTCAGCTGAGAACTTTGAGCAAGTGCTGAGTAAGAGACTCCTACTAGATTTTAATACTGTAAGATTACTGACATAAAACAACACAGGGTAGACATGAAGTGGAGGGCATGTCCTTTGAGAATGGAATATCAGCAGTTGCCTGAATGAGAATAAAAAACTTAGCCCCCATCAGAGGATTTGGAATGTCAGGGCCATGGCTGTGGTTTCCCACCTCTTCTGGTAGAATGACAGCAGCCACACTGCAGCCCCTACCGTCATGGAAACGCTGAAGTGTGTGAGTAACACCTTTGTCCTCAGAGGATCTGCTGTTCCTACCACTTCCCCACCACACAACCCAGCTTTGAACACCCTAGTCCAACCCTGGTCCCCACACAACTTGACTCTGCCAAGGGGTTGAGAGGCCAGGGAGGCAAGGTCGGAACTGTGGGCCGAGCACCCCAGGGTCCCCTCTTCCTAGTTTATGAGAGACTCCCTGACAGGACTTCCCTCCCATTTCAGGAAAATCCTCTTATGTGGGGAGATGACACCCTAAGGTTTGGAGAAGGACTTACCCTCCTGTGGCCAGGCCCCCTGCAGCAAGAAGAACCCTGGAAAGAAAGATCATGATGGAAGATCCATTTGCAGGCAAACAAGGCCTTCCTTGCTGCCCCCACTGGGCTGTGAGTCTTGATAGCCAGCCCCTTCCTGGGCCGAAGGGAAACTCACCATCAGTGCCTACCTGCACCCAAGAACAGTGCTCTCGGCTGTGCAGAGACCCAGCCTCCAGGCCCATATCCCCACCCCAAGCCCATATCTCCACTCCAGGCCCATATCTCCACTCCAGGCCGATATTTCCACCCTAGACCCATATAGCCAATCCGGGCCCACATCTCCAATCCAGGCTCAGATCTCCACCCTAGGCCCATATCTCCAATCCAGGCCCATATCTCCACTCCAGGCCCATATCTCCTCTCCAGTCCCATATCTCCACTCCAGGCCCATATCTCCACCCCAGGCCCAGATCTCCACCTCCAGGCCCATAACTACACTCCAGGATCATATCTCCACTCCAAGCCCATATCTCCACATCAGGCCCATATCTCCACTCCAGTCCCATATCTCCACACCCAGGCCCATATCTCCATTCCAGGCCCATATCCCCATCCTAGGCCCATATCTCCACCGTAGGCCCAGATCTCCACTCCAGGCCCATATCTCCACTCCAGGGCCATATCTCCACTCCAGGCCCATATCTACACACCAGGCCCATATCTCCACCCCATGCCCATGTCTCCACTCCAGACCCATATCTCCACCCCACGCCCATATCTCCACTCCAGGCCCATATCTCCAACCCACGCCCATATCTCCACCTCCAGGCACATATCTCCACCCCACGTCCGTATCTCCACTCCAGTCCCATATCTCCACTCCCGGCCCATGTCTCCACCCCATGCCTATATCTCCACTCCAGTCCCATATCTCCACTCCAGGCCCATATCTCCACTCCAGACCCATATCTCCACTCGGCCCATATCTACACTCCAGGCCCATATCACCACCTCCAGGCCCATATCTCCACTCCAGGCCCATATCTCCACCTCCAGGCCCATATCTCCACTCCAGACCCATATCTCCACTCCAGGCCCATATCTCCACTCCAGGCCCATATCTCCACTCCAGGGCCATATCTCCACTCCAGGCTCATATCTCCACTCCAGGCCCATATCTCCACTCCAGGGCCATATCTCCACTCCAGGGCCATATCTCCACTCCAGGCTCATATCTCCACTCCAGGCCCATATCTCCACTCCAGGGCCATATCTCCACTCCAGGCCCAGATCTCCACCTCCAGGCCCGTATCTCCACTCTAGTCCCATATCTCCACTCCAGGCCCATATCTCCACCTCCAGGCCCATAACTTCACTCCAGGCCCATAACTCCACTCCAGGCCCATATCTCCACCTCCAGGCCCATATCTCCACTGCAGACCCATATCTCCACTCCAGGCCCATATCTCCACTCCAGGCCCAGATCTCCACTCCAGGCCCACATCTCCACTCCAGGCCCAGATCTCCACCTCCAGGCCCCTATCTCCACTCTAGTCCCATATCTCCACTCCAGGCCCATATCTCCACCTCCAGGCCCATAACTTCACTCCAGGCCCATAACTCCACTCCAGACCCATATCTCCACCTCCAGGCCCATATCTCCACTGCAGACCCATATCTCCACTCCAGGCCCATAACTCCACTCCAGGACCATATCTCCACTCCAGGCTCATATCTCCACTCCAGGCCCATATCTCCACCTCCAGGCCCATAACTTCACTCCAGGCCCATAACTCCACTCCAGGCCCATATCTCCACTCCAGTCCCATATCTCCACTCCAGTCCCATATCTCCACCCTAGGCTCCTACCTCCCCTCCAGGTTCCTATCTCTCCTCCAGGTTCCTCTCTCCACTCCAGGTTCCTATCCCCACTCCAGGCCCATATCTCCACTCCAGGCCCAGATCTTCACTCCAGGCCCAGATCTCCACTCCAGGCGCAGATCTCCACTTCTAGGCCCATCACTCCATCTCTAGGCCCAGATCTCCACTCCAGGCCCAGATCTCCACTCCAGGCCCATAACTCCACCTCCAGGCCCATATCTCCACCTCTGGGCCCAGATCTCCATCCCCACGCTCCCTCCCTCTATTCCCTTCCAGGACTCACCAACACACGCCATGATGATGACCATGAGCGACATGGTGCTGCCGGTGCAGACAGGCGGCCGCGCCCCAGCTCAGCTCAGCAGCGCACAGGATGTTATTTGGCGCCCTGCCCATGCAGTTTACATGTTGACCACATCATGGGAGGGTGACGTACGCAGGCTTTTTCTACCTTGCATGAGGCCCAGTGTGTGCTCGCTCAAGAGCGGAACATGGCTTCCTGGAAATTGCTCTCACTAGAATTGACACCTCGCGTCCTTCACTATGACCAACTCAAAACACGTCTTAGATCCAACCTCCCAAACATGAGATGCCTAAAATCTGTGCTAACATGAAAGACTTTTCATGAATTTTTATTGTTTTTATCTGAGATTCGAACTCTTCTTCCTGTGTAATATGCAAAATATCTAATAGGTATTATTAGTGTTTTCAGAGTCATTGTGACTAATAAACCATTAGAATTGTTCATGCTTGTATTTCTAGTATTACAGCAGAACCAGTTCAAATGATTTAAATTCCCAGGGAAGGATTATGCAATTATTTACAATCTTAGAATTGTACTTTATCAGCAAAAACCACACATGTAAATTCTGGATTTTTGTAGTTTTATCTATAATTTGTCTCATGACTCAAGATTCCAGAGTCCCAACTGTGGAGTTTGCTCTCTCTCTGTCTCTCTGCCTCCCTCATTTTAAATTTTACAGAAATATCCAGTAACATAATGCTATAGAAAATCAAGTTTCCCCCAGCAGGTTGGGAAGCCGAGGTGGGCGGATCAACTGAGATGAGGAGATTGAGAGCAGCCTGGCCAACACAGTGAAACCGCGTCTCTGCTAAAAATTCAAAAATTAGCCATGCCTGGTGGCAGGCACCTGAAACGCCAGCTACTCAAGAGACTGTGGCACGAGAATCGCCTGAACCTGGGAGGCGGAAGTTGCAGTGAGCTGAGATTGCTCCACTACAGTCCCGCCTGGGCGACAGAGCAAGACTCCGCCTCAAGAAAAAAAAATAGCAAGTAGCCTATAATAACAAATTAGAGGGCTCTGGCTACTAAATTTAAAGGGTTTTATAAGGCTACATGAAGTGCAGCATCCTCAAGAGTGTGGACACAGAGAGCCCCTTAGCAGAAACAGTGTCTAAAATACATCCGTGTACACACAGTCCCTTTAGAGTTGACAAAGGCTGCCGTGTGGTTTAAGGTGGCATAGAATGTCTTCTCAATAAATAATATTAAACCAAAGGGTTACACGTAGGAAAAAATAAATCTAAACTTATTCTCACACTATAAAAACACTTCTTACTTTTTATCTAGTTATTGTACATTTTTTATGATTTATATTTAAAATTGAGAAATAAAAGTCATATACGGTCATCCTTTACTATTCGTGGGTGATTGGTTTCAGGATCTCCACTCAGGTACCAAAATCTGCAGATGCTCAAGCCTCTTACATAAAATGACACAGCATTTGGATATAACCCATGCACATCCTCCTGTATACATGAAATCATCTCTTGATTACTTATAATTCCTGATACAGCCTACACACTGCCTCATTTGTGTCCATTCAACATAGTTTTGCATTTTGAAACTTTGTGGACATTTTCTCTGAATATTTTTGATTTACACTTGGTTCAATAAACACCTGTAAACCCCACAGATATGGAGGAGCGACTGTATATTTATAGTATGAAATATGATGTGTTGATATGTGTCCCCGTGGAGATGAGACTAGCAAGGCTTATGACTCTACAAATGTTTCATCGTGGAATGACTCTGCCAGCTTTCCAGGTTGCAGAGAGTAAGAATATCACTTGTTCATGTGATTCACGATCCTTGGAACCTCCTATGTGCTGCATCTTTGGATGGAAATTGGAGTCCCAGAGACAAATGAGGCTCCACCCTGCTTCCAGAAGCTCAGAGTCCAGGGGTGAGAACCTAGCGGAGAACAGATGGGGTTATGTGGACATGGTAATGATAACAGCGGTTTCTTTCAGCGAATACAGTGTCACATTACCTGAAGCAATGAGGGCAGACATGTTTATTTGAAGAGGAGACAGCTACATTGAAATCACAAAAAATTTTATAAGTTTCACTGCTGACAGAAGGCTGGAAAATAGTCCGAAGAAAGGTGAAACAGCATGAGGGAAGGTGGAACAGCACGTGGGTAAGTGCCACGTCAAGAGGGAGCCTCTTGTATGTTTGGAATTGTGAGTTCCTCAGTGTGATCGCAGCCTCAAGTAGACTAGGAAGTAAGCCAGTTAGGTTGGAGAGGTGGGCAGGGGTCAAGTGAAATGGAGAACTGTGGGCTAAGCAAAGGAGTGTGTTTTCTTTCCAGCAGGCAGTGGGGACCTAGACATTTGTAAGCAAGAGAGAGGCACCAGATTTGTGGCGTGAGGAGGAGCGATGCCCTAAGATGAAGACTCAGGCCTTCAGATTCCAGCTGCTGGTACATGGGAGCTGGCAACTCGGTTTTGAGACAGGGCTGTTGTCTCCCTAGAAGACGCCCTCAAGGCCTGACTGTGGTGCTCATGGGCAGGAGACAACTTTGGATCTGGGCTTAGCATTTGGAAGTTCCGTGTACAAGATGGTATCTGTAGGGGGTGTCTTGGGCCTCTGAGAAGGGCGAGTGATTTTTCTCTGTGTGAAAACGCAGTGATCCAACTGTGCGTATGTCACCTCCTGAGGGTCTTGTTCATCAGAGTCCTGGAGAGAGGGAAATGCTGAGTGAGGGAGGGAAATGCTGAGTGAGGGAGGGTGCTCACGTTTTCCAGGACTGTTTGGGAATAACACTAGCCACGAGGCTGGGCCGAGGAGCACCTACCTCGCTGTTGGCTGTTCTGTTCCCTGCAGGCTCTTGGTCCATTACAGCAGCATCTGTAGGAGACGGAAGTCAACAAAAGAGCTCGGAGGGCACTTCTGGGTCCTCATTTCATAAGCAGATACCAACAAACAGGGGGAGGCCATAGGTGCCTGAGGTCCCTCAGTTGCCAACAGCAGACTCAGACATTCTATCTCTCTGAGCTCAAGGACCCATCCCATGAATAGCTCTGAGTTCCCATCCCATTGATTCTATCTCCCACTTTCTGCCTGTCATGGAACCTTCTCCTGGATGTGAGTGGCTGCGGGGGACATGAGGATACAGTTCAGAATCAGGCAACGGTCTGTGAGCTGAAGGCAGGGGCAGGGAGTCTGGTGCTCTCTCTAGAAAGTCCTGCCTCTGTGGCTGCTGCCTTGGGCCAGGGACCATCCTGCCAGTGAGGAACACACAGCTGTGTGCTCCCATCCTGCTTCCCCACATGGCCCTGAGCTCTCTGGCCTGTGCCGCGTGAGACTTACTTTTTTTGTTGGAGTACCAGAGATGAAGGAGAAAGAAGAGGAGGAGGATGAAGAGGATGATGACCACTGAGGTCCCAATGAGAACATGCAGGTGTCTGGGGTTACCTGGAAGAAGAGGAGACACCAGTAAGAAGCTAATCATAGCAGATTCTCTATATGAATTGTCTTGCATTTCTTGATTGACAGGTAACCACTTACAGCATCTCTTTCGGACAAGCACCCAGATGGCGGGAGACCTAGCTTCCTCCTGCTTTCTCAGTTATAGCTCTCATAGTAAGCATGGAACGTGCTGAGGATACAACTACTTTAGTTGAGATGTTTGACCCCTTCAAACCTCACATTGAAATTTAACCCCCAGTGTGGGAGGTTGGGCCTCTTGGGAGGTGTTTGGGTCATGGAGGTGGATCCATCATGAACAGATCAATGCTGTCCCAAGGAGACGGGGTTAGCAAGTTCCCTCTCTATTAGTTCCTGGAGAGCTGGTTGTTAAAAAGAGCTTGGAAGCTCCATTGCTCCCCCTCCCCCTTGCTCCCTCTCTTGCCGTGTGATCTCTGTGGTCTCTGCACAGACAGACTCTCCTTCCCTTCTGCCAGAGTGGGAGCGGCCTGAGGCCATCATAAGAAATAGATTCTGGTGCCATGCTTCCAGTACAGCCTGCAGAATGGTGAGGCAAACCAATCTCTTCTTTAGAAGTTACCCAGGCTCAAGTGTTCCTTTAGAGCAACAAAAATGGACTAAGACAGCAAAGTCCTGAGATCAGGAGGATCGTCCCAGAACAGCCTGGGCTGTCTTCCTGTTCTTCCTGGAGGAGGACGTCATGCAGTGCTTTAGCTGAGTGCTTCCTGTGGCTCCAGGGTACAAAACCCAGGCTGGGCTGCTTTCTGGCTTCCCCCAGCTACACTGCAAATGGGGTGACTCCACATGTCTCGAGCAGCTTTTCTGAGCCTTGGGGAACTGGCTCACATTGAAATGTAGGCTTCTGTTGTCACTCGCTGCTTATCTGTTAGTAATGAACCTGCCTATGTAACGTATTCTCTGTGTGTTCTGTCTCCCTGGAGTGACGGTGAGTGATAGGAATTGGCATAGGCCCAGGTGCAGTCCAGGAGGTGTTTAGAGTCTTCTCTGGGAAGACTGGACTGGGATTGATACACAGCGAATGTGCTTTAGGATTTCTACATCCACGGCATTCTTGAGTTAAACAACTTGCATTCTCCAAGAAAAGGAAACAAAAGTGAAATCAATATAAAAAAAGCGAAGTAGAATTCTCTTATGTCAAACAGCCAGAAAATAGTGTTGAAGCCCGTGTGAAATGTGCTACTCTTTGTGATCTCGGGAGACACATGTTAGGCTGCTGTTCTACCTGAGAGGCTGGGGGAAGGACCACCCCCTCGACTATCTATTGCTTCAATACCACCTGTCCTCCTGTGAATTAGTAGGAAAGGGGAGCAGGAGCTAGTGCTGGGACAGATCTCTGATTCCAAGATCTGGACTCACTCCAAGGAGTATGAGCATTTACCTCCCCATGATCTATCTGTATCTCCACAGGTGATTGGAAGTAGGGGTGAGGTGGGGGATTTGGGTGAGGGGGCAAGTTTTTTTTGTGATGACCAGAGCACTTTCTCTATTCCAGGATTTGTGCTGGAGGATTCAGCGGGCTTTCACATTTTCTATATGATCTCATGCTCACAGAAAGCCAAATACGGAAGAGGTTTTAGGCTGATTGCCTAATGGATAAGATAAAGGATCAAAGAAGTAATTATAGAGAAATAGAAAAATGATGATGGGAATTCAGGTGCCTTTGTCATTCGTGTGTGTTTTATTATATTTATGCATTTCTTATTTTTATTTTTTGAGATGGAGTCTCCTTGTGTCACCCAGGCTGGAGTGCAGTGATGCGATCTCCACTCACTGCAACCTCCACCTCCTGGGTTGAAGTCATTCTCCTGCTTCATCCTCCAGAGCAGGAGCTGGGATTACAGGGATGCACCACCATGCTCGGCTAATTTTTGTATTTTTAGGAGAGATAGGGTTTCACCATGTAGAGATAGGGTTTCACCATGTTGGCCAGGCTGGTCTCGAACTCCTGATTTCTTGGAATCCACTGGCCTTAGCCTCCTGCAGTGCTGGGTTACAGGAGTGAGCCACCGTTCACAGACTTGTATATTATGCTATAATAGGTCCCTTCATTTCCACCACCCCTCATATATCTGTCACTCCTTTGCCAGGTATTGATTTATGTGTAGGAGGAATAAATCTCAGAAAGAAATTAATTTAGCAAGGATTAAACAACTAGGAAACTCAAACCCAGCAAGCCCTCCCTGCAAATGATTCTACCTCCCAAACATAGCTTATATCCATCTGCTTCATCCACTTAGGGTCTAAATCAGCACCACATTTCACCAGTGGGGCGGCAATTGCCTTTTCCACGGTCTCCTAGATTCCAGTTACGCACCTGGGCCTCCCTTATTTTCATGTCAGTCATATTAATCATGTAGGGATTCCTGGTTACCCCGAGGTGAATCCAATGGCTGTGAGTGTCAAACACACACTCCTTGTTGCTCCTTAGTTTCCTGTGTACCCAGTGTGCTCTCCGTCTCTCCACAGTCGTCTTGTCATTCTCCCCACTTCATTCCCAGCATTTGAGTCAGAGCCTCTTCCTTCAACATCAGATTGTTTTCACCTTTGTGCCTTCACAGCTGACAGCTGTGTGGAAAATCCTTCCGCCAATCTTTCAGGGGTTCAATCCGTGTTTTTCATTAATGTCACAAATATCTGATTAGTGAGACCTTCTCTGTCACCCAAAATTATACACTCAGCATTATCTATTATTTATTTTGAATTCTGGCTGGGCAAAGTGGCTCACGCCTGTAATCCCAGTACTTTGGGTTGCTGAGATGGTCGGATCACTTGAGGTTGGGAGTTTCAGACAAGCTTGGCCAATATGGTGAAACATCCTCTCTACAAAAAATATACAAAAAGAATTAGCCGGGCATGGTGGCAGTTGCCTGTAATCCCAGCTACTCGAGAGGGTGAGGCAGGAGAATCACTTGGATCCAGGAGACGCAGGTTGCAGTGAGCCAAGATCGTGACACTGCACTGTAGCCTGGAAGACAGAGGGAGACTCTGTCTCAATAAATAAATGAACGAACAAACAAATAGATTTCATACACAGATGCTTCCCAATGGATCATTCATTTATTGGTCCACTTGTGCATTCATTTTCTGCCCTCCCATTTAACCATCTGCAATATCAGTGTCCCAAGAGCAGAGGCCAAATGCATCTTGTTCACCGTTCGTGGAAGGCAGGAGAATGCTGTCCCACCCCAAAATGTCCCTGTCCTGGCCTCCATAGCTTGTGAATATGTTATTTTACATGGAAAGAAGGAATGAAGATTGCAGATGGAATTACGGTTGCTAGTCAGCTGAACTTAAAACAAGGGTATCCTGAATGATTTCCAGGAGATTATGATGGATTTTCATCTTGGTGAACCCAATAGAATCCCCAAGTTTTCAAAAGATAAGGAAGAAGGGAGAGCAGCATTCAGAGAAAGAGGTGTGGTAAGGAAGAAGGGTCTGAGTGATGCCATGTGAGATGTGACCAGCCTTTGTGGGCTTTGAGGAAGGAGGAAGGGGACCAGGAGCCAAGGAACTGGGAGCCTTTATAAGATGGGACAAGTGAGAAGCAGATTCTTGCCTGGAATCCTCAGGCAAGGGAAGGCAGCCTTGCTGTCACCTTGTTTTTAGCCCAGTGAGATGCACTTCATACTTTGAGCTACAGCACTGTAAGATAATTAAAAAGCCGCTTTGTTTTCACCCACGAATCTTGTGGAAATTTGTTATGGCAACAATAGGAAAGGATTCCAACTGCACAGCCTGAGCATGGGGCTGTGGCTGAATGAGTCAGTGAGTCGAAGTGTGCGTGCATGAGCTCTGTTCTCTATTACGGCAAGGCTGTTGCTCTGCTGAGTCAGCCAGGGTTGCTTCATGACCAACAGTAATTCATTCCTTGGCAAGTGGAACTTCTCTAAAACACCTCGCCCTCATCAGATGTTCCCTTCCCTTCCCTCTCTCAAGTCCCCAGGAATTTATCCTCCAGTTAGGAATGCAGGAAGAAAAAACACTGCATGTTTCCTGAGAAGGATGTCAGATTGGCAATCATTCTTCTAGCTTGTAGGAGGTCTCACCTGCAGGACATTAAAGGTTAAGAGACTTCGCTGAGCCCTTTGGTGGCCCTAGATCCCTTTCACTGTTGGAGTGTCTGGAGTTCAGAGATGGTGGAAGACAGGCCCTCATTCACAGAGCTGGGAGGTTTGAGCCAACACTTGCATCCAAGGCTTCCACCTCCCCAGGTTTCCAAAAGCAGAGATAAGAGGGGTCCTTTACTCACCAGATTTGGAGCTTGGTTCTGTGGGTGAAGGCCAACTACTTGAAGGGTTTCCTAGAACACGGGACAGGAGAGATGTGAGGAAATGAGGGTGCTTGTCCTCTACTCAATGGAAATCTTTGAGGTTGGTTCATGGCCAACACTCTGTTATCTAATGTTGGACCCTGGGAGTCTTGGGATCCTCTTCTCCATAATTTTTGTGTGCGATGCCCACTGTCTTGAGACTTGAAGGTATAAAGAGAAAACAGGAGCATCACACTACCTGACTTAGAAATATGTTACAGAGCTGTAGTAAGCAAAACAGCATGACATTGGCATAAAGAAAGGCACATAAAAAATGGAACAGAATGGAGAACACAGATATAATCCATGCATTTACATCCAATGGCTTTTTTTTTGTGTGTGTGTGATAGAATCTTGCTCTGTCATGCAGGCTGGAGTGCAGAGGTGCAATCTCAGCTCAATGCAACCTCCACTTCCTGGATTCAAGCAATTCTCTTGCCTCAAACACCCGAGTAGTGGTATTACAGGCACTGGTCACCATGCTCAGCTAATTTTTGTATTTTTAGTAGAGACGAGGTTTCACTCTGTTGGCCAGCCTGGTCTTGAACTCCTGGCTTCAGGTGATCCATCCGCCTCGGCCTCCCAAAGTGCTGGAATTGCAGGTGTGAGCCACCATACCCAGCCCATTTAATGGACTTTGACAAAGGTGCCGAGAACTTACAATCAGGAAAGGACAGTCTTTTCAATAAATGGTGTGGGGAAAACTGGATATCTACATGCAGAGGAATAAAACTGCATCTATACCTGTCACCTTACACAAAAATCAAATGAAAATGGATTAAAAACATGAGTCTAAGGCCTGAACCTATGAAACATGTAGAAGAAAATAATGGGGAAGACATTTGTCTGACGAAAGACATTTTGTTTAAAACCTTCAAAACACAAGTAATCAAAGCAAAAAATAGACCATTAGGATTACATCAAACCAAGCAACTTCTGCACCACAAAAGATAAACCAAGAAAGTGAAGAGACAACCGACAAAATAGGAGCAAATATTTGCAAACTATTCATCTGAGACGGGATTAATAACTGGAAATATAAGAAGCTCAAACAACTCAATAAAACAATTTAATTCAAAAAAAGAGCAAAAGACATGAGGAGACATTTCTCCACAAACAAAACATAGAAATGGCGATCACGTATATGAAAAAGTACTCGGCATCACTCATCATCAGAGAAATGTAAATTACAATCGCGATGAGTTTTCATCTCATCCCATTAAAATGCCTTTTAGGCCGGTGGCTCACGCCTGTAATTCCGGCACTTCAGGAGGCGGAGGTGGGCGGATCACCTGAGGTCGGGAGACCAGCCTGACCATCATGGAGAAACTCCCTCTCTACTAAACATACAAAAATTAGCTAGGCGTGGTGGCACATGCCTGTAATCCCAGCTACTTTGGAGGCTGAGGCAGGAGAATCAGTTGAACGCGGGAGGCGGAGGTTGCAGTGAGCTGAGATCACACCCTTGCACTCCAGCCTGGGCGACTATGAGTGAAACTCCATCTCAACATAAATAAATAAATAAAATGAAGTAAAGTAAAATGGCTTTTACTGCAAGACAGGCAAAACAAATGCTGGCAAGATGGTAGAGAAAGGAGAACCCTGGTACCCTGTTGGTAGGAATGTAAATTAGTACAACTATTATGGAGAAAAGTATGGAAATTCTTTAAAAAACTAAAAGGAGGCTGGGCATAGTGGCTTATGCCTGTAACTTCAGCACTTTGGGAAACCGAGGCAGGCACCTCACTTGAGGTCAGGAGTTTGAGAGCAGCCTGCCCAAAATTGGGATATCCCGTCTGTGCTAAAAAAATACAAAAATTAGCCAGGCATGGTGGCGTGCACCTGTAATCACAGCTACTAGGGAGGCTGAGTCAGGACAATCATTTGAACCTAGGAGGCACAGGTTGCAATGAGCCAAGATCTCACCACTTAGACTCCAGCTTGGACTAAGGAGGGAAACTCTTTCTCAAAAAAGGAAAAAAAAAAAAAGAGAACTTTCATAGTGTCCAGCAATTTCACTACTGGGTTTATATCCAAAGGAAAGGACATCAGTGTATCGAAGTGATATCTGCACTCATATGACTGTTCCAGCACTGTTCACAGTAGCCAAGATGTGGAGTCAACCTACCTGCCTATCAGTGGGTGAATGGATAGAGAACTGTAGTACACACACACAGTGGAGACTACTCATCCATAGAAACAATAACATCCTGTCATTTGCAGCCACATGGATGGAACTGGAGGTCATTACAAAGATTCCCATTTCTCACCACATGAAGGAGATAAAAGGTGGATCTCATGAAGGTGGAGAATACAATGGTGGACACCAGAGGCCAGGAAGGGAAGGGTGGAGGGTAACAAAAAAAAGAATATAGATGTATTTATTTATTTAGAAACAGAGTCTCTCTCTGTCTCCCAGGCTGCAGTGCAGTGGCATGATCTCGGCTCAGTGCAACCTCTGCCTCCTGGCTTTAAGTGCTTCTCCTGCCTCAGCCTCCCAAGTAGCTAGGACTACAGGTGCATGCCGGCATGCTCGGCTAATTTTTCTTGTCTGTTTAGTAAAGATGAATTTCCCACATGTTGGCCAGGGTGATCTCGAGTTCCTGATCTTAAATGATCCACCTTCCTTGGCCTCTCAAAGCGCCGAGATTACAACCGTGAACCACCACACCCAGCATATAAAGGTATTTATGACCACTAGATTTTACTTTTAAAAATGGTAAAGTTGGTAAATTATATAGTTACATTTAACCTCAATAAATATTTTTGAAAATGAAAAGAAAAGGGTGTAGGGGTTGCTGGTGATGACATCTCTCTGTGTGGGTGAGAGGCCATGATGGGCTTCTGGGAAATGGATAAGATTGAGGGGCTGAGGGAACCTCTGATCTCCCCAAACTAAGCCCAGTCTCCCCTTCTCTGGGTCTGTCCTGACCGCTTTCTCCATCTGCCTGGGTGCCTGGAGCCCTGATCGGAGGCCTCCATGCAGGCCATGAAGGAGGGTTTGGAGGTGCCCTGTCTGCCATCCTGCGCCCTGACTCCGCCCTCACACCTGCTGTGTCTTCTCTCTGCATCTGTCCATGCTTTTCTCCATCATCAGCAGGAAGCTCCTTAGCTAAGGATTTAGGATCATAGGACATGAGAGAGATATGGGCTTTTCTCACCTGTGACAGAAACAAGCAGTGGGTCACTCGGGTCTGACAACTCGTAGGGAGAGTGACGGAAAGAGCCAAAGCATCTGTAGGTCCCTCCGTGGGTGGCAGGGCCCAGAGGGAAATCTGCCTGGAATGTTCTGTTGACCTTGCGCACTGCAGGGAGCCTACGTTCATGGGCTCCCCCCTCCCTGGATAGATGGTACATGTCATAGGAGCTCCGGGAGCTACAGGACAAGGTCACGCTCTCTCCTGCCTGAACCTTGGGGCCCGGCTGGGCTGAGAGAGAAGGTTTCTCATATGGACCTGGAAGGAGAAGAGGCAGTTTCCTCAGGGAGGTTCTTCCTTGTCATAGCTCCCCTCATACCTGAGCTGAGAACTCACTCCCCTGCTCTATGACCTAATGCTCTCTCTCTCTCTCTCACCCTCCACCCCATCTCTCTTCATATCTGTTTCCTCCTTCTACCTTTTCTGTCTCTCTAGGTCTATGACCTCAATTCCCCACCCTGAGGTATGTTTTCCCTTTTTGGATTGTTTTATTCTCTCTGACCCTCCTTGGATTGGTTGACTTGATCTTCCTTTTTCTTTAATTTTGAGTCTCTCACTTTCTGTCTTGTTCATAACTTTCTGCACATTTCTATCTATTTATCTATTTTGTGTCTATCTACAAATTATCTATCATCTATATTTATGTATCACTTATCTATCTCTCTATCAATTGTCTGTCTGTCTATCTATCCATCAATCATCTATTATCTATATATGTATCATCTATCTCTCTCTCTATTACCTCTCTGTCTGCCTCTCTGTCTCTATTTATGTATCATCTATGTATATATCTATGTGTCTATCATCATCATCGTCATCTCTATGTATCATCTATCAGTCATCATCTATGTATCTATAACCAATCCATTATCTATCATCTACCTATTTATCATCTATCTACGTCTATCTATCCATCTATCATCTCTCTCTCTCCGTCTCCTTGTCTTTCTCTGCCTCTCAGTCTCTCTAGTTCTATTTGGAATCTCTGCAATCCATCCCCACATATTTATCTTTCTCTGTCTTTGTGTCCCTCCCTCAGGGTTCTGATTTTGGGGCTTTTCTCTCCTCCTTTCCATCATTCTCTCCACTCTGCCCTCTTTTCTTTCTTTTTATGTGTCTGTGAATCTCTTAATCTCCTTCTTCTGGCTCATTTTGTGTGTGTTTATGTCTTTGCTTTTTGGTGTCCCTGATTTTTCTCTGTGTCTCTCAGCGATCCTATCATATGTGGGATTATTTGGAATATGAGCCTCAGAATCCAGTCTGGGGACCCCAAGTTCACACAGCATACAGGGGTTGGTGTTCAGGGGCCATGATATCCTGGGATGATTACTCTCCATTGCATGGAAGGCAGAGGTGTCAGAATAAACACGGCATCTGTAGGTGGCACAAGGCCTGAGGCCACAGGGCCCAACTCAGGTCAGAAATATGGGTGTCCTTGGGTTCTTCTGGTAGGAACACTTTGTGGAGGTAAAACAGAAATGAAACTTCTAACCTGTGCCAGGTCTCTGAGCAAAGTCAGCATGGAAGGACACCTCTCTCTGGGACATGTCTGTCTGTCTGAGTGTCTCCTTTACCTCTTTCTCTCTTTTCTACCTCCCTGTATGGCCCCTGTGTCTGTCCTCTGTTATGACACCTGTTCTGTACTTATGTCTGCTGTTTCTCTGTCTCTGTTGGTACAGACCTCACCAAGTCACTCTCTTTCCGTAAGAATCCCACACTTATCTTCCTCATGACCACCTGGGGGTTCCAAGTCCTGGATCATTCACTCTGTGTCCCAGTGACAATGAGAACAATGTCTAGACACTCTCACCTGTGACCACGATGTCCAGGGGATCACTGGGAGCTGACAACTGATAGGAGGTGTGAGTAACAGAACCGTAGCATCTGTAGGTCCCTGCAAGGGCAAGCATCATGGGACCGATGGAGAAATTGGCCTTGGAGACCCCATCATGGATCTGTCCAACGAGGCGTGAGGGGTCCTTAGAGATCCCCTCTTTGTGCAGAAAGAAGTGCTCAAACATGATATCTGACCAACATTGCAGGATGACTCTCTCTCCTGATTTCACCAGGGGACCTGGGTGGGCCAGGAGGGAAGGTTTTCTGTGGTTTCCTAGAAAGAGAAGTTGTGAGTTTAGAAGGCATCTCTCTTTATCATCCCATCCATGGCACCTGGAATGAGTGAGGGTTCCCCTCCCCGTGTCTGTCTCTCTCCTCCCTCTCTGCATCTCCGTGTCTTTTCTGTGCCCATATCCCCTGGTGCAGGTGCCTCCATCTGTCTTCCTCCCTCTTCTCTGTCCCTCTGTCTCCAGTAGCCCCTGACTCCCTTGCCACTGTGAAGACAGCCTCATCTCTTGGGCTGTTGTATCTGTTTCCCACTAATCTCTTTCCTGCTGTCTATGTGGGGGTGGAAGAGGACAGGCTGCATGTCCAGGCTCTTAGCAGCCTGAATCAATCTCTTTTGAACAAATCCCCAGTTCAAGTGATTCTCTTGCCTCAGCCTCCCCAGTCGTTGGATTACTCGCGCCCACCACCACATCTGGCTATCCTTGTTTGGTTTCCTAACTTGTCCTTGACCTGGGTTCCTGTGTTGGTTTCCTGTTGCTGCTGCAGAAAATTACCACAAACATGGCAGCGGGAGAGAACACACTGACCCCTTCCACTTCTGGAGACAGAAATTGGATCCAGTTCTCCCTGTGCTGAAATCAAGGTGTCTACAGGGCTGCGTTCCCTCTGGAGAATCAGCGAATCAGTTCTCTTGACTTCTCCAGCCCTTAGAGGCCACCTGCATTCTGTGACTAGTGGTCTTTCTCCACCTTCAAAGCCCGCAGTGGCTGATAGCGTCTCCCTCCCACTACACTGCTCTAATCCCCACTCCCCTCTTCCTCCACCTCTCATGTGGACCCTTGTGATTACACTGAGCCCAGTGGGACAGTCCAGGCTGTCTCCCCATCTCAAGGTCAACTCATCAACAACCTGAGCTCCACCTTCCCCTTCAGTCCCCTGCCCTGTAACATAAATAGTCACAGGCTCCAGGGATTACAATGTAGCCATCATTGGGGACAGTGATTCTTCCCACCACAGCACCCATTTCCCCTGTATTCAATCTCCCTTGACCCCAAATACAGTCAGGGCCTGGGTGATGGGACCCTGACGGACACCCCCACCAGAAGCTCTGGGATTCAGGAGGTGGGACAGTGAGAAGCCCAGACGGAAAGCCTCTGACCTGTGACCATGATCACCACGGGGTTGCTGGGTGCCAACCACCCAGTGGGGGAGTGTGGGTGTGAACCCCGACATGTGTAGTTCCCTGCATGTGCTGTGGTCACAGGGCTCATGTTGAAGCTCTCCTGGAATATTCTGCCATGGAAGATGGGAATGTGGATTCCGTCTTCTTTGTATAGCATGAAATTGTTAAACCTATGATGATAGTGACACCGAAGAGTCACGTGTCCTCCTCGAGGCACCACAGCGCTGGGCCAGGCAGACAGGAAGGGTTTGTCCTGACCACCTGGGGGAGAAGGAGGCACTGCCTTAGAGAGGAGGATGTGGAGCCGCCCCTCACTCCCAGTGCCCAGAAGATTCTCCCCATTTCCACTTTCTAAGGCTCCTACCACACCTGGGTGCCCAGGGCTACAGGAAGGACCCATCCTGCATAGACTTGGCGTCTCCCTACAACAAGTGTCAGCTGAGAACTTTGAGCAAGTTGCTGGAGAAGCAACTCTTACTAGATTTTAATACTGCAAAATTACTCATATAAAACAACACAAAGTAGACACGGCATGGAGGGCAAGTCCTATGTGAATGGAATATCAGCCAATTGATGAACTGAGCCCCCATCAGAGGATTTGGAATGTCAGGGCCATGGCTGTGGTTTCCTCACCTTTTCTGGTAGAAAGACCGCAGCCACACTGCAGCCCCTACCATCACGGAAACGCTGGAGGGTGTGAGTTACACCTTTGTCCTCAGAGGACCTGCTGTTCCTAGCACTGCTTCCCTCTCTTTCTCTGCTGCTGACACCACTTCCTCCCTGCACACCCATCTTGGAGCACCCTAGTCTCACCCCAGTCTTCACAGAGCTTGACTCAGGAAAGGGAATGAAAGGCCGGGGAAGGCAAGGTCAGAAATGTGGGCCGAGCATCCGAGGGTCCCCTCTTCCTAGTGTATGAGAGACTCCCCGACAGGACTTCCCTCCCATTTCAGGAAAATCCTCTTATGTGGGGAGATGACACCCTAAGGTTTGGGGAAGGACTCACCCATGTGTGGACCGGCCCTCTGGACCAAGAACAACCCTAGAAAGAAAGATCATGATGGACCATCCATCTGCAGGCAAACCAGGGCACCCTGCTGCCCCCACTGGGCTGTGCGTCTTGGCAGCCAGGCCCTTGCTGGGCTGAAGGTAAACTCACCCTCGCTGCCTACCTGCCCCCAGGAACAAGGATCTCGGCTGTGCAGAGACTGAGCCTCCAGGCCCAGATCTCTACCTCCAGGCCTAGATCTACACAACAGGCCCAGATCTCCACTCCAGGTCCGTATCTCCACTCCAGGCCCATATCTCCTCTCCAGGCTGGTAAGTCCACTCCAGGCCCATATCTCCACTCCAGGCTCCTATCTCAACTCCAGGCTCATATATCCACTCCAGGCTCATATCTCCACTCCAGGCCCATATTTCCACTCCAGGCTTCTATCTCCTCTCCAGGCCCATATCTCCTTTCCAGGCTTGTATGTCTGCTCCAGGCCCGTATCTCCACCCCAGGCCCATATCTCCACTCCAGGATCATATCTCCACTCCAGGCCCAGATCTCCACTTCATGCCCTTAACTCCACCTCCGGGCCCATAACTCCACCTCTAGGCCCATATCTCCACTCCAGGCCCATATCTCCACTTCAGGCCCATATCTCTACTGCAGGCCCCTAACTCCACCTCCAGGCCCATATCTCCACTCCAGGCCCATCGCTCCACTTCTAGGCCCATCACTCCACCTCTAGGCCCACATCTCCCCTCCAGGCCCATATCTCCCCTCCAGGCCCATCTCTCCACCCCAGGCACATATCTCCACCCCAGGCCCATATCTCCACTCCAGGCCCAGATCTCCACTCCAGGCACATATCTCCACCCCAGGCCCCTATCTCCACTCCAGGCCCAGATCTCCACTCCAGGCCCAGATCTCCACTCCAGGCCCAGATCTCCACTTCAGGCCCATAACTCCACCTCTAGGCCCATAACTCCACCTCTAGGCCCATATCTTTACCTCCAGGTCCAGATCTCCATCCCCGCACTCCCTCCCTCGATTCCCTTCCAGGACTCACCAACACACGCCATGCTGACGACCATGAGCGACATGGTGCTGCCGGTGCAGACAGGCGGCTGCGCCCCAGCTCAGCTCAGCAGCGCACAGGATGTTATTTGGCGCCCTGCCCATGCAGTTTACATGTTGACCACATCATGGGAGGGTGACGTACGCAGGCTCTTTCTACCTTGCATGAGGCCCAGTGGGTGCTCGCTCAAGAGCGGAACATGGCTTCCTGGAAATTGCTCTCACTAGAATTGACACCTCGCGTCCTTCACTATGACCAACTCAAAACACGTCTCAGATCCAACCTCCCGAACACGAGATGCCTAAAATCTGTGCTAACATGAAAGACTTTTCATGTATTTTTATTGTTTTTATCTGAGATTCAAACTCTTCTTCCTGTGTAATATGCAAAATATCTAATAGGTATTATTAAGGTTTTCAGAGCAATTGTGACAATAAACCATTAGAATTTTTCATGATTGTATTTCTAGTATTACAGCAGAACCAGTTCAAATGATTTAAACTCCCAGGGAAGGATTATGCAATTATTTACAATCTTAGAATTGTACTTTATCAGCAAAAATCACAACATGTAAATTCTGGATTTTTGTAGATTTATCTAGAATTTGTCTCATGTCCCAAGATTCCAGAGTTCCAACTCATGGTTTGCTCTCTCTCTGTCTCTCTGCCTCCCTCATTTTAATTTTTACAGAAATATCCAGTAACATAATGCTATAGAAAATCAATTTCCCCAGCACTTTGGAAGCCGAGGTGAGTGATCAACCGAGGTCAGGAGTTTGAGACCAGCCTGGCCAATATAGTGAAACCATGTCTCTGCTAAAAATACAAAAATTAGCCATGCCTGGTAGCAGGCACTTGTAATGCCAGCTATTCAAGAGGCTGAGGCACGGAATCCCTTGAACCTGGGAGGCGGAAGTTGCAGTGAGCCGAGATCGTGCCACTGCACTCCAGCCTGGGCAACAGAGCGAGACTCTGCCTCAAGAAAAATAAAAAAAGCATAGCAAATAGCCTATAATAAATAACTAGAGGACTCCAGCTACCAAATTTTAGGGGTTGTATAAGGCTGCATAAAATGCAGCATTCTCAAGAGAGTGGACAGAGAGAGAGCCACTGAGCAGAAAACAGTGTCTAAAATACATCCGTGTACACACAGTCCCTTTATAGTTGACAAAGGCTGCCATGTGGTTTAAGGTGGAATAGAATGTCTTCTCAATAAATAACATGGGCCCAAGGGTTACACATAGAGAAAAATATATCTAAACGTATTCTCACACTATAAAACACTTGTTTATTTTATCTTGTTATTGTAATTTTTTTATGTTTTATATTTAAAATTGAGAAATAAAAATTATATACAGTCATCCCTCACTATTCGTGGGTGATTGGTTTCAGGATCTCCACTCAGATAGCACAATCTGCAGACGCTCAAGCCTCTTACATGAAATGGCACAGCATTTGCAAATAACCCATGCACATCCTCCTGTGTACATGAAATCATCCCTTGATTATTTATAATTCCTGATACAGCCTACACACAGCTTCATTTGTGTCCATTCAACATAGTTTTGCTTTTTGAAACTTTGTGGATTTTTTCTCTGAATATTTTTGATTTATATTTGGTTCAATAAACACCTGTAAATCCCACAGATACAGAGGACCGACTGTATATTTATAGTATGAAAGATGATGTGTTGATATGTGTCCCCGTGGAGATGAGACTAACAAGGCCTATGACTCTACAAATGTTTCATCATGGAATGACTCTGCCAGCTTTCCAGGTCTGCAGAGAGTAAGAATATCACTTGTTCATGTGATTCACGATCCTTGGAACCTCTTATGTGCTGCATCTTTGGATGGAAATTGGAGTCTCAGAGACAAATCAGGCTCCACCCTGCTTCCAGAAGCTCCGAGTCCAGGGGTGAGAACCCAGTGGAGAACAGTTGGAGTTATTTGGACATGGTAATGATAACACTGGAAACTTTCAGCCAAAAAAAGAGTCACCTAAAGAATGAAGGCAGACATGTTTATTTGAAGAGGAGAGAACTACACTGAAATCAAAAAAATTTTATAAGGTTTGCTGATGCCAGAAGGCTGAAAAATAGTCTGAGGAAAGGTGGAACAGCACGAGGGAAGGTGGAACAGCACGTGTCTAAGTGCCGTGTTAAGAGAGAGCCTCTTGTATGTTTGGAATTGTGAGTTCCTCAGTGTGATTGCAGCCTCAAGTAGACTAGGAAGTAAGCCAGTTAGGTTGGAGAGGTGGGCAGGGGTCAAGTGAAATAGAGAATTGTGGGCTAAGCAAAGGAGTGTGTTTTCTCTGCAGCAGGCAGTGGGGACCTTAGACATTGGTAAGCAAGAGACAGGCACCAGATTTGTGGTGTGAGGAAGAGTGATGCTCTAAGATGGAGACTCACGCCTTCAGATTCCAGCTGCTGGTACATTAGAGCTGGCAAGCTGGGTTTGAGACAGGGCTGTTGTCTCCCTAGAAGATCCCATCAAGGCCTGACTGTGGTGCTCATGGGCAGGAGACAACGCTCTGGGCTCAGCATTTGGAAGTTCTATACACACGCTGGTATCTGTTGAGGGTCTCTTGCTCCTCTGAGAAGGGCCAGTGATTTTTCTCTGTGTGAAAATGCAGTGATCCAACTGTGCGTATGTCACCTCCTGAGGGTCTTGTTCATCAGAGTCCTGGAGAGAGGGAAATCCTGAGTGAGGGAGGGTGTTCACATTTTTCAGGACTATTTCGGAATAAGACTGTATCCATGAGGCTGGGCTAGGAGGACCTACCTCCCTGTTCACTGTTCTGTGTCCCGCAGGCTCTTGGTTCATTACAGCAGCATCTGTAGGAGACGGAAGCAATCAAAACAGCTGGGAGGGCACTTCTGGGTCCTCATTTCATGAACAGATACCAACACACAGGGGGAGGCCATAGGTGCCTGAGGTCCCTCAGCTGCCAACAGCCAGACTCAGACATTCCATCTCTCTGAGTGCAAGACCCCATTCCATGAATAGCTGTCAGTTCCCATCCCATTGATTCTATCTCCCACTTTCTGCCTGTCATGGAATCTTCTCCTGGATGTGAGTGGCTGCAGGGGACGTGAGGATACAGTTCACAATCAGGCAACGGTCTGTGAGCTGAAGGCAGGGGCAGGGTGTCTGGTGCTCTCTCTAGAAAGCTCTGCCTCTGGCTCCTGCCTTGGGCCAGAGACTTTCCTGCCAGTGAGGAACACACACCTGCGTGCTCCCATCCTGCTTCCGCACAGGGCCCTGAGTTCTCTGGCCTCTGCTTCGTGAGGCTTACTTTTTTTTTGGAGCACCAGCGATGAAGGAGAAAGAAGGGAAGGATGGTAAAGAGGATGATGGCCACTGAGTACCTAATCACAGCATGCAGGTGTCTGGCGATACCTGGAGGAAGATGGGAATCCAATAAGAAGCTAACCATAGCAGTTCCTCTTTGTGGATTGTCTCTCATTTCTTGGTTGCCAGGCAACCACATAAAACACCTCTTTAAGACAAGCACCCACGAGGCGGGAGACCCAGCTTTCTCCTGCTTTCTCCGTTATAGTTTTCATAATAACAATAGAATGTGCTGATGATACAACTGCTATTGTTTCAATGTTTGACCCCTCCAAACCCCACTTTGAAATTTAATCCCCAGTGTGGGAGGTTGTGCCTATTGGGAGGGGTGTTTTGGTCATGGGGGTGGATCCATCATGAATAGATTAATGCTGTCCCCAGAGGACGGGGTTAGCAAGTTCTCCCTCTATTAGTACCCTGGAGAGTTGATTCTTAAAAAGAGCTTGGAAGCTCCATCACACCCCCTTTCTCCCTCTCTTGCCATGTGATCTCTGTGGTCTCTGCACACGCAGGACCCCCTTCTCTTCTGTCAGTGTGGGAGCAGCCTGAGGCCGCAGCCAGAAATAGATGGTAGTGTCCTGCTTCTAGTACAGCGTGCAGATCAGTGAGCCAAACACATCTCTTTTCTTTAGAAGATACCCAGGCTCAAGTGTTCTTTTATAGCAACAAAAATAGGCTAAGACAGCAACATCCTGAGATCAGGAGGAACGTCTCAGAACAGCCTGGGCTGTCTTCCTGTTCTTCCTGGAGGAGAACATCATGCAGTGCTTTAGCTGAGTGTTCCCTGTGGCTCCAGGGTACAAAACCCAGGCTGGGCTGCTTTCTGGCTTCCCCCAGCTACAGTGCACATGAAGTGACTCCATGTGTCCTGAGCAGTTTTTCTGAGCCTTGAGGGACTGGCTCACCCTGAAAGGAAGGTTTCTGTTGTCACTCGCTGCTTATCTATAAGTAATGAACCTGCCTATGTAATGTATTCCCTGTGTGTTCTGTCTCCCTGGAGTGATGGTGAGTGATAGAAATTGGCACAGCCCCAGGTGCAGTATGGGAGGTGTTTAGAGTCTTCTCTGGGAAGACTGGACTGGGATTGATACACAGTGAATGTGCTTTACAGTTTCTACATCCACAACCCTCTTGACTCAAACAAATTACATTCTCCAAGAAAAGGAAAAAACAGTGACATTGAAATCAACATAAGTGAGGTTGAGCTGTCTTATATCAAACAGCCAGGAAATAATGATGAAGCTCGTGGGCAACATGCTACTTTTGTCATCTTGGGAGTCAGATATTAGGCTGCTGTTCCACCCGAGAGTCTGGGGGAAAGACCACCCCCTCCATCATCTGTTGCTTCAATACAGCCTGTCTTTCTGTGAATTACTCCAAAAGGTGACCAGGAGATAGTGCTGGCACTGGTCTCTGAGTCTACGATCTGAACTCCAAAGAATATTAGTTTTTACCTCCCCATGATCTATCTGTATCATTAATGTGATTGGAAGTAGGGGTGAGGTGGGGGATTTGGGTGAAGGGGCAAGTTTTGTCCCATGAACAGATCACGTTCTCTATTCCAGGACCTGTGCTGGTGGGTTTCACATTTTCCATATGATCTCATGCTCACAGAAAGCCAAATAAGGAAGATGTTTTCGCCTGATTTTCTTACGGATAGGATAAAGGATCAAAGAAGTCATTATAGAGAAATAGAAAAATGATGATTGGAATTGGTGTGCCTTTGTCATTCGTGTATGTTATATTATATTTATGTATTCTTTATTTTTATTTTTTGCCATGGAGTCTCACTCTGTCACCTAGGGTGCAGTGCAATGACGCGATCTTGGCTCACTGTAACCTCTCCCTCCCTGGTTGAAGCCATTCTCCTTCTTCAACTTCCCGAATAGCTGGTATTACAGGCATGCGCCACCACCCCCAGCTAGTTTTTGTATATTTAGTAGAGATGGGGTTTCACCATGTTGTCCAGGCTGATCTCGAACTCCTGATCTCACTTGATCCAGCCTCCTCAGCCTCCCAAAATGTTGGGTTACAGGTGTGAGCCACCGTTCAGAACCTTGTGTGTTATATTATAATAGGTCTCTTCCTTTGCACCACCCCTCATGTATCTCTCACTCCTCTGCCAAGTATTGATTTACATGTAGGAAAAATAAATCTCAGAAAGAAATCAATGAAGTGAAGATTAAACAATTAGGAAAAATCAAACCAGGCAAGCCCTCCCTGCAAATTACTCTACCTCACAAACACATCTTGTGTCCATCTTTCATTCATTTAGTGTCTAAATCAGCACCACATTTCACCAGGGGGGCGGGAATTGCCTTTTCCACAGTCTCCTAGATTCCAGTTATGCACCTGGGCCTCCCTTATTTTCATGTCAGTCACTATTCATCATGTAGGGATTCCCAGTTAGCCCCGAGGTAAGTCCAAGGGCTGTGAGTGTCAAACACACGCTCCTTGTTCCTCCTTAGTTTCCTGTGTACCCAGAGTGCTCTCTGTCTCTCCACAGTCGTCTTGTCATTCTCCCCACCTCATTCCCAGCATTTGAGGCAGAGCCTCTTCCTTCCACATAACATTGTTTTCACCTTTGTGCCTTCACGGCTGACAGCTGTGTGGAAAATCCTTCCGCCAATCTTCCAGGGGTTGATCTATTTTTTTCATTAAGGTCACAAGTATTATTTGATCAGTGAGAACTTCTCTGTCACCCGAAATTATACACTCAGCATTATCTATTATTTCTTTTAAAATACGGCTCGGCGCCTTGGCTCACGCCTCTAATCTCAGCACTTTGGGAGGCTGAGACGGGCGGATCCCTTAAGGTTGGGAGTTTGAGATAGCCTGGGCAACATGGTAAAACCTTGTCTGTACTAAAAAAAAATACCAAAAAAAAAATTAGCCAGGCGTGGTGGGACATGGGTGTAATCCCAGCCTCTCGGGAAGCTGAGTGTAGAGAATCGCTTTAACCTGGGAGGTGGAGGTTGCGGTGAGCCGAGATCCCGCCACTGCACTCCAGCCTGGGGCACAGAAGGAGACACCGTCTCATAAAAACACCAATCAATCAATCATTCTCATGCACAGATGCTTCCCAATGGATCATTCATTTATTGGTCCACTGGTGCATTCATTTTCTGCCCTCCCATTTAATCCTTTGCAATATCAGTGTCCAAGAGCAGAGGCCAAATGCACCTTGTTTACCATTTGTGGAAAGGATAAGAATGCCGCCCCACCCCAAAATATTCCTGTCCTAGTCGCCATATCTTGTGAATATGTTATTTTACATGGAAAAAAGGAATGCAGATTGCAGATGGAATTACGGTTGCTAATCAGCTAACCTTAAAAGGAGGGTATCCTAGATGATTTTAGGGAAATTATGATGGATTATCTTGGTGTTTCCAATAGAATGCCAAAGTCCTTAAAAGATGAGGAAGAAGGCAGAGCAGCATTCAGAGAAAGAGGTGTGGACAAGGAAGAAGGGTCTGAGTGATGCCGTGTGAGAGGCGTGACCAGCCTTTGTGGACTTTGAGGGAGGAAGACGGGGACCAGGAGCCAAGGAATGTGGGAGCCTCTAGGAGCTGGGAAAAGTGAGGAAGCAGATTCTTGCCTGGAACATTCAGAGGGAAGGCAGCCTTGCTGTCACCTTGATTTTAGCCCAGTGAGATGATGCATTTCATACTTCTGAGCTACAGCACCATGAGATATTTTTTAAAAATGTGGTTTCCATCCACGAAGCTTGTGGAAATTTGTTATGGCAACATAGGAAAAGGTTCCACACTGCACAGTCTGAGCATGGGGCAGTGGCTGAACGAGTAAGTGGAAGTGTCATGTGCACGGATGAACTACGTTCTCTCTTACCGCAAAGCTCTTGTTCCACTAAGTCAACCAGGGTTGGATCATGACAGACAGGAGCTCATTCCTTGGCAAGTAGAACTTCTCTACAAATACACCACCCTCAAAAATGTTCCCCTTCCTTCCCCTTCTCAAGCCCCCAGGCATTTGTCCTCCCAGTTAGGAATGCAGGCAGAACAAACACAGCATTTTTCCTGAGAAGAATGTCTGATTTGCACTCATCCTTCTACCCTGAGGTCTCAGCAGCAGAAAATTAGAGATTAAGAGATTTCACTGAGCCCTGTGCTGGGCCCAGATCCCTTTCGCTGTTGGAGTGTCTGGGGTTCAGAGACAATGGAAGACAGGCCCACAATCACAGAGCTGGCAGGTGCTGAGCCAACGCTTGAATCCAAGGCTTCTACCTCCCCAGGTTTCCAAAAGCAGAGATAAGAGGGGTCCTTCACTTACCAGTTTTGAAGCTTGGTTCAGTGGGTGAAGGCCAACTACTAGAAGGGTTTCCTAGAACATGGGACAGGAGAGAGGTGTGGCAATGAGGATGCCTGTCTTCTACTCAATGGAAATCTTTGAGGTTGGTTCATGGCCAACATTCTATTATCTAATGTTGGGCCCTGGGAGTCCTGGCATCCCATTCTCCATAATCATTGTAGGTGACACCAACTATCTTGAGACTTCAAGGTATAAGGAGAAAACAGGAGCATCACACTACCTGACTTAAAAATATGTTACAGAGCTGTAGTAAGCAAAACAACATGACATTGGCATAAAGAAAAGCACATAAAACAATGGAGCAGAATGAAGAACACGGATGTAATCCACCCATTTACATCCAATGGACTTTGACAAAGGTTCGAAGAATCTACAATCTGGAAAGGACAGTCATTTCAATAAATGGTGCAGGGAAAACTGGATATCTACATGCAGAGGGATGAAACTGCACCTCTACCTCTCACCATACACAAAAATCAGATGAAAATGGATTAATGACTTAAGACCTGAATCCATTAAATGTCTAAAAGGAAACACTGGAGAAATGCTCCAGGACATTTGTCTGAGGGAAGACATTTTGTTTAAAACCTCAAAAACACAAGTAATCACAACAACAACAAAAAAATAGACCATTGGGATTATATCAAATCAAGCAGCTTCTGCACCGCAAAGGAAGCAACCAATGAAGTGAAGAAGAGACAACCCACAGAATGGGAGCAAATATTTGCAAACTATGCATCTGAGATGGGATTAATAACTAGAATATAAAAGAAGCTCAAACACCTCAATAAAACTAATAATTTAATTATAAAATTAGTAAAAGACCTGAACAGACATTTCTCAATGAACAAAACATACAAATGAACATATATACATTGCATATATGAAAAAGTGCTCAGTATCACTAATCATCAGAGAAATGCAAATGAAGTCACAATGAGCTATCATCTCACCCCATTACAATGGGTTTTATCTCAGAGACAGACAAAACAAATGTTGGCAAGGTGGTGGAGAAAGGAGAACCCTGATACACTGTTGATAGGAATGTAAATTAATACAGCCATTACAGAGGAGAAGAATATGGAAGTTCCTTAAAAACTAAAAAGAGATTAGGCACTGTGGCTCACGCTTGTAATCCCGGCACCTTGGGAGGCTGAAGTGGGCAGATCACTGGAGGTCAAGAGTTCGAGACCAGCCTGGCTAACATGGTGAAACCCCGTCTCTACTAAAAATACAAAAATCAGCCAGGCGTGGTGGCGGGCACCAGTAATCCCAACTACTCGGGAGGCTGAGGCTGGAGAATCACTTGAATCCTGGAGGTAGAGGTTGCAGTGAGCCCAGGTGGTGCCATTGCACTCCAGCTTGGGCAACAAGAGTGAAACGCTATGTCAAAAAAACAAAAAGCATAAAACAAAACCTAAAAAGAGAACATCCAGAGGATCTAGCAATTCCACTAGTGGGTGTAAATGCAAAGAAAAGGACTTCAGTGTATTGAAGTGACATCTGCACTCCCATGACTGTTCCAGCACTGTTCACAGTAGCCAAGATGTGGAGTCAACCTACCTGCCCATCAGTGGATGAATGGATAGAGAGAATGTAGTACATACACACAATGGAGACAACTCATCCATACAAAGAGTAACGTCCTGTCATTTGCAGCCACATGGATGGACTGGAGGTCATTACAAGGATTGCCATTTCTTACTCACATGCAGGATGTAAAAGGTGGACCTCATGAAGGTAGAGAGTAGAATGGTGGATACCAGAGGTTAGGAAGGAAGGGGTGGAGGGTAACAAAAGAAGAATATAAAAGTATTTATTTATTTATTTAGAGACAGAGTCTCTCTGTGTCACCAGGCTGCAGTGCAGTGGCATGATCTCAGCTCACTGCAACCTCCTCCTCCTGGGTTTAAGCCACTCTCCCGCCTCAGCCTCCCAAGTTGCTGGGATTATAGGCGCCTGGCACCATGCCTGGCTAATTTTATTTTTTTTGTCTTTTTAGTAAAGATTGGTTCCCCCATGTTGGCCAGGCTGGTCTCCAGCCCCTGATTTTAAATGATCCACCTGCCTTGGCATCTCAAAATGCTGAGATTACAGGCGTGAGCCACCGCACACAGCATATAAAGGTATTTATGATCCCTAGATTTTACACTTAAAAATGGTAAAGTTGATAAATTATATAGGTATATTTAACCTCAATCAGCATTTTTTCAAAGGAAAAGAAAAAGTGTAGGGGTTGCTGGTGATGACATCTCTGTGTAGGTGAGAGGCCAGGGTGGGCTTCTGGGAAATGGGTAAGGTTGAGGGGCTGAGGGAACCTCTGATCTCCCCAAACTGAGCCCAGTCTCCCTCCTCTGGGTCTGTCCTGACCACTTTCTCCATCTGCCTGGGTACCCGGAGCCCTTACTGCAAGCTTCCATGCAGGCCATGCAGGAGGGTTTGGAGGTGCCCTGTCTGCCATCCTGTGCCCTGATCCCACCCTCACACCATGCTGCATCTTCTCTCCACATCTGTCCATGCTTCTCTCCATCATCAGCAGGAAGCTCCTCAGCTAAGGCTCTAGGACCATAGGACATGGGACAGACATTGGCTTTCCTCACCTGTGACAGAAACAGGCAGTGGGTCACTCGGGTCTGACCACTCGTAGGGAGATCCATGGAAAGAGCCGAAGCATCTGTAGGTCTCTCCGTGGGTGGCAGGACCCAGAGGGAAGTCGGCCTGGAATGTTCCATTGATGCTGGGCACTGCAGGGAGCCTAAGTTCATGGGCTTCCCCTTCCCTGGATAGATGGTAGATGTCAAAGGAGCTCTGGGAGCTGCAGGACAAGGTCACGTTCTCTCCTGCGCGAACCGTGGGGCCCGGCCGGGCTGTAAGCGAAGGTTTCTCATATAGACCTGGAAGGAGAAGAGGCAGTTTCCTCAGGGAGGTTCTTCCTTGTCACAGCTCCCCTCCCACCTGAGCTGAGAACTCACTGCCCTGCTCTATGGCCTAGTGCTCTCTCTCTCTCTCTCACCCTCCACCCCTAACTCTTCCTGTCGATCCCTCCCTATGTGGTTCCAGCCTGGTGGTGGCATCAGCAGTGCACCCTTGCTGATCTCAGGGTAGCCAACCTTCTTGTTTGGTTTTTTAACTTGTCCTTCACCTGGGTTCCTGTGTTGGTTTCCTGTTGTTGCTGGAGAAAATTATCACAAACATGGCGGCAGGAGAGAACACACTGACCCCTTCCACTTCTGGAGACAGAAATCAGACCCTGTTCTTCCTGGGCTACAATCAAGGCATCTGCAGGGCTGCATTCCCTCTGGAGACTCGGGAGAATCAGTTCCATTGATTTCTCCAGCCCCTTCGTGGCTCGTGGTCTTCCTCCACCTTCAAAGCCCACAGTGGCTGGTGGAGTATCCCACGATGCTGCTCTAATCCCCATTCTCCTCTTCCTTCTCCACTCATATGGACCCTTGTGATTACACTGAGCCCAGTGGGAGAGTCCAGGCCATCTCCCCATCTCAAGGTCAACTCATCAACAACCTGAGCTCCATCTTCCCCTTCAGTCCCCTGCCCTATAACATAGTCACAGGCTCCAAGGATTACAATGTGGCCATCGATGGGGACAGTTATTCTTTCCAACACAGCACCCATTCCCCTGTATTCAATCCCCCTTTACCCCAAATATAGTTGGGGCCTGGATGATCGGACTCTGGTGGACACCCCCACCAGAAGCTCTGGGACTCAGGAGGTGGGACAAGGAGAAGCCCAGACAGGAGCCCTCTGACCTGTGACCATGATCACCAGGGGGTTGCTGGGTGCCGACCACTCAGTGGGGGAGTGCGGGTGAAAACCTCGACATCTGTAGGTCCCTGCGTGTGCTGGGGTCACAGGGCTAATGAGGAAACTGTTCCAGAATATTCTGTTGTAGAGCTCAGGGACAGGGACCCCATCTTTCTTGTACAGCGTGAAGATGTTAAACCCACGACGATAGTGACACCGAAGAGTCACGTGTCCTCCTTGAGGCACCACAGCGCTGGGCCAGGCAGAGCAGAAGGGCTTGTCCTGACCACCTTGGGGAGAAGGAGATGCCGCCTCAGAGAGGAGTATGTTGAGCTGCCCCTCCCTCCCTGTGCTCAGAAGATTCTCCCCATTTCTTCTTTCTAAGGCTCCTACCACACCTGGGTGCCTGGGGCTACAGGAAGGACCCATCCCGCATAGACGTGGCGTCTCCCTACAACAAAAGTGTCAGTTGAGAACTGAGCAGGTGCTGAGTAAGGGACTCTTACTAGATTTTAATACTGCAAGATTAGTTACACCAAACAACACAAAGTAGACATGGGGTGGAGGGTATGACCTTTGTGAATGGAATATTAGCTAATGCCTGAACCACAATAAACAACTGAGCTCCATCAGAGGATTTGGAATGGCAGGGTCGTGGCTGTGGTTCCCCCACCTCTTCTGGCAGAATGACAGCAGCCACACTGCAGCCCCTACCGTCATGGAAACGCTGGAGGGTGTGAGTTACCCTCTTGTCCTCAGAGGACCTGCTGTTCCTAACACTGCTACCCTTCCCTCCTCTGTCGGTGACACCACATCCCCCCACACACCCCAGCTTTGAGCACCTCAGTATCCCGCCTGGGCCACACAGAGCTCAACTCAGCCATGGGGAAGAAAGGCTGGGGAGGGCTAAGACAAAACAGAAGGCTGAGCATACCAGGATCTCCTCTTACTAGTTCATGAGAGACTCCCAAGATCTCCTCTTACTAGTTCATGAGAGACTCCCAGGATCTCCTCTTACTAGTTCATGAGAGACTCCCCCCAGGCCTTCCCATGGTCAGCCCATCAGCCCACCCTCTGTGCTGCCTCCCTCCCATTTCCGGAAAATTCACTTGTATTGGGGTGAAGATGGCAACCCATCATTTGGGGAAGGACTCACCCACGTGTGCCCACACACTCTGGTCCAAGAAGAACCCTGCAAAGAAAGATCATGATGAACTATTCATCTCGGCACCAACCTACCCTTTCCTCCTGAGCCACTGGGCGCCACGCTGGACTGAAAATTAACTCATCCTCACCACTCACTTGCTTCAGAACATGGCTCTCTGCTGGGGAGACACCCAATCTGCAGGCCCATAGTGTAACCCTGGTGCTCCTTCCCTTCCAGGACTCACCAAGACATGCCAGGATGATGACCGTGGGTGACATGGACATGGTGCAGCTTCTGCTGCCAGGACGCAGTGACTCGGCTCGACTGACCGGTGCAGAGGATGTGGTGAGGGGCCCGGATCGTGCAGTTGACACATTGACCACAACATGTGAAGGGGACATAGGTAGGCTTCTTCTACGTCATATGAGGTTCAAGTGGTGAATCAGTCAAGGGAGGAATGAGGGTTTCTGAAAACTGCAGACTAGACTTGTCACTTCACATCATGCGCAACGGCCAGGCTCAAAACACATCTCAGACTCACTTACCCCTGCACGGGACGATTGAATTCTGCACTCACATGAGGAACTTTTGATGTATTTTTTTTTGTTTCTACCTGAGATTCAAACTCTCCTTGATATGTAATATGCAAAATACCTAATAGGTTTTATTAACACTATAGAGCAATCGTATTAAATAAATCATCATAATTTTCCATGGTTGTATTTTTCCTGTTAAGCCAGAAACAGATAAAATGATTTAAATCCCAGTAGAAAAGACTATATAGTTATTTCGCATCATAGAATTCCACCTTATTAGCAAAAACACAATATGTCAATTGAAGGTCTGGTCGTGTTATCTAGAATTTGTCTTATGACACAAGAGTCCAAATTCACAGTTCCCTGTCTCCCTTTTTGTCTCTCTGTAACGTGTGCTTTTTTTCTCCCTGTGTTGTTTGTGTGTCTTTCTTTCTCTCTCTCATTTGAGGAAAAAATATCAGACTGATAACATCCTCCAACTTGATACTGGAATATTGCAATAACTGAAGGTTGAAATCTACACATTTAATGTGCTGTCATTCTTACAAATGTCTCTTATTTACACCTACCTTTCTGGAGTTTGTAAGAACTTTTTCACTATGCATTTTAAATTTGTAAAACTCATAATTTTTAAAAAGGGATGGGTCTCACTGTTTGCCCAGGGTGGCCTTTACTCATTCTATAAGGCTGGCATCACCCTGATACTAAAGACAGAAAAGAACATTAAACAAAAGAAAACTACATGCCAATATTCCTGATGAACATAGAGGCAAAAATCCACAAAAAATACTAAGAACTGAATCCCGCAGCATATCAAAAAGTGAATCCACCATGATCAAGTCAACTTTATTCTTAGGGTGCAAGGTTGGTTGAACATACACAATCAATACATGTGATTCATCACCTAAACAAAACTAAAAACAAAAACCACATGATCTTCTCAACACACATGTAGAACATACTTTTTACTAAGAATTTCTTCATGTTAAAAGCCCTCAACAAGCTAAGCATTGAAGAAACATAACTCAATATAATAAGAGCCGCCTGTGACAAACCCACAACCAACATCATACTGAATGAGTAAAAGCTGGAAGAAGTTCCCTTCATAAGTGAAACAAGACAAGAATGCCCACTCTCACCATCCTATTCAACATAGTACTTGAAGTCCTAGACAGAGCCATCAGGAAAGAGAAAGAATTATAAGGCATCCAAGTAAGAAGAGAGTAGCAGAGAGAGGTAGTCAAATTACCTCTGTTTGAAGATGAGATAATTTCTATACCTAGAAACCCCATAGTCTCTGCCCAAAGGCTCCTACATCTGAGAAACAAACTTCAGCACAGTTTAAGGGCAGAAAGTCAATGTACAGGCTGGGTGTGGTGTCTCAGCCTGAAATCTAGCACTTTGGGAGGGCGAAGCGGGTGGATCACCTGAGGTCTGGAGTTCGAGACCAGCCTGGCCAACATGGCGAAACCCTGTCTCTACTAGAAACACAAATATAGCCGGACGGGGTGGTACGCAACTGTAGTCCCAGCTGCTTGGGAGGCTGAGTCAGGAGAACCGCTTGAACCTGGGAGGCAGAGGTTGCAGTGAGCGGAGATCACGCCATTGCACCTCAGCTTGGGCAACAACAGTGAAACTGCATCTCAAAAAAAAAACCAAAACAAATTTAATTAATGAGGAAAAGGGTATTTGTGGTGTCCATCATGATGTTTTCATATAGGTACACATTGTGGAATGGATGAAACAACCTCTTTATCATATTTATTTTTTCACATACTTGTATGTTTTGTGTGTGTGGTGAGAACATGTAAAATCTAATCTCTTAGTAATGTTCAATACACCATATGTTGCTATTAACTGGAGTCACCAAGACATACAATAGATCTCTTGAACCGATTTCTTCTAACTGAAATTTTGCATCCTTTGACCAACATCTCTTCAATCTCTCTCCATCCCAGGTTCTTTCGACGACCATTTTACTGTTCCTCTAGGTTCCACTTCTTACACTCCACACATGAGATCATGTGGCATTTGTCTTTCTGTGCCTGGATTGTTTCCCTTAACATAATGTCCTCTAAGTTTTTTCACATTGTCACAAATGAGAGGACTTCCTTCTTTGTTGTAAAGGTTGTATAGTACTTCATTACGTTCCTATCGTATACCACGTTTTCTTTGTCCATGCACCCATAGATGGGCAGTAAGGGTGATTCCACATCTTGGCTGTTATGAATAATGCGGCTGTAAACATGGGAATGCAGATATCTCTTCAACATACTGATTCCACTTCCTTTGGATACATGCGCAGTAGTTGGATTGCAGACACATATGGGAATTCTATGTTTAATTTTTTCAGGAACTTCCAGACTGTTTTCCATAATGGTTATGCTAATTTACATTCCCATCAACTGCATACAAATGTTCCCTTTTCTCCACATCCTCGTTAACCCTTGTTATTTTTTATGTTTTTGATAATGGTCTTTTTTTTTTTTTTTTTTTTGAGACTCAGTCTTGCTCTGTCACCCAGGCTGGAGTGCAGTGGCACAATCTCGGTGTACTGCAACCTCTGCCTCCTGGGTTCAAGCGATTCCCCTGCCTCAGTCTCCAGAGTAGCTGGGACTACAAGTGTGCGCCACCAAACTCTGCTAATTTTTGTATTTTTAGTAGGGATGGGGTTTCACCATATTGGCCAGGCTGGTTTCGAACTGCTGACCTCAGGTAATCTCCCTGCCTCGGCCTCCCAAAGTGCCTGAATTACAGGCATGAGCCACCATGCCCAGACTGTTAATGGTCATTCTAAGAGGTGTGAGGTGATATCTCATTCTAGTTTTAATTTTTATTTAGCTGATGTTTAGTAATGCTAATCATTTTTTCATATACCTTTTGGTGATTTGTCTTATTCTTAGAAATGTTTATTCAGATACTTTGCCCATTTTTTTAAGTTGGGTTATTTGATTTCTTACCATTGAGTTGTTTGAGTTTCTTATATATTTTGGATATTAATTCCTTATTAGATGTATGGGTGCAAATATATTCTCCCATTCCATAGGTTGTCTTTCCACTTGTTGAGTTTTTTTTTTCTTTGCAGAAACTTTCAATTTGATATAATGTTATTTGTCTACTTTTGCTTTTGTTGCCTGGGCCTTTGGGTTAATATCCAAAATGGTTTTGCCCAAGCCAGTGGAGTTTTCCCTTGATTTCTTTTAGTAGTTTTTTTTTTTTTTTTAAGATGGAGTCTCACTGTGTTGCCCCGGCTGGAGTGCAGTGGTGCGATCTCGGCTCACTGCAACCTCTACCTCCTGGGTTCAAGTGATTCTCCTGTCTCAACCTCCCGAGTAGCTGAGATTACAGGCACCCACAACCACACCCAGCTGTTTTTGTATTTTTAGTAGAGGCGGGATTTCACCATGTTGGCCATGCTGGTCTTGGAATCCTGACCTTAGGTGATCTGCCCACCTTGGCCTCCCAAATTGCTGGGATTATAGTCTTTCATCTTACATTTAAGTCATTAATCTATCTTGAGTTGACTTTGTATGTTTTGTGAGGCAAATGTCCACTTCCATTCTTCTGCATGTGGACATGCAGTCTCCCAATCCCATTTATTAAAGAGACTGTTCCTTCTCCATTGTGTGTTCTTGACACATCCCAAAAATTGTTTGACCCTAAATGCATGCATTTTTTTCCTGGGCTATGAATCACTTCCATTGGTCTATGTGTCTGTTTTTATGCAAGTACTGTGTTGTTTTAATTACTGTAATTTTGTAATGTAGTTTGTGTTTAGGTAATGTGATGCTTCCAACTTTGTTCCTTTCCCTCTAGATGGCTTTGGTTATTTGAGATCTTTTGTGGTTCCACATGAATTTTAGGACTGTTTTTTCTATTTCTGTAAAAAAAATGTCATTGGATTTTTGATAATGGTTGCATTGAATCACTTTGGATAGAATGGACATTTTAACAACATTAATCCTTCTGATCCGTGAACATGGAATATCTTTCGATTTATTTGTTTATTTCTTGAGTTTTTTCATCAATGTTTTATAGCTTTTGCATACAGATCTTTCTACTCCTTGGGTGAATTTATTCCTGCATGTTTTGTTTTCTGTAGTTATTGCAAATGGGCTTATTTTCTTGTAAACTTTTTTGGATAGTTTGTTGTTAATGTATAGAAACTTTGTTGTTGTTGTTGTTGTTGTTTTGATGATACCCATCCTAAGGGGTATGAAATGGCATCTGGTGTAGTTTTAGTTAGTATTTCCCTAATGATTCGTGATGCTGAATATCTTTTCATGCGTATGTTCTTTGGAGAAATGTCTGTTTCAGTACTTTGCCCATTTTTGAATTGAGTTTATTGTGATTGAGTTTTAGGAGTTGTCTGTATATTCTGGATGTTAATCCCTTACAGGTGGTGTGGTTTGAAAACATTTTCTCCCATTCTGTGGGTTGTCTTTTTACTTTGATAATATCGTCTTAAAAGTTCTTTTTCCTTGCCATGTGAAGTAACTGATGTTGTCTTTTGAGTCACAATATTTCAAAATTTTCATAAAGTCTAACTTGTTTATTTTTTCTGTAGTAGCCTGTGCCGTTGTTGTCACATCTAAAGAATCACTGCCAAATCCGATGTTGTGAAGTTTTCCTTTGTGTTTTCTTCTAAGACTTTAATTAAATTTTATTTGTCAATATTTAGGACTGACAAAAGCTTTTTAACATTCCTGGCACCATCTCAGTTATTGATCTACTCCCAAGATGGATCATTTCAATTAAAACATGTAAAGCATGACCTCACCTGAATGTGTTTGAACTTGCTCTTCTCCCTTTCAAATCGACTCCCTCACTTACATAGTTTGTGTTCAAATGTCAACAAATAAAACATAAAAAGAAATCAATCTTTTCATAGACCCTTTATCTAAAATAGAATAGTAGGTGCCATGACATTTCATCCTTTCATCTTGAATTATTTACTTTTCTACATGAACCAATCCATTCTTCTGTGTGCATGTGTGTGTGTGTGTGTGTGTAGTTTATCTGTCTACATATAATGTAAACACCAAAAAATAACAGACATTTAGTAATTTTCAAATGAGACTTCAGGAATTAACAATGGCTTGCCATTTTTAGTGTGTTATTATTATTATATTTAGATGAACAGAATTGCCTCAGGAACATGGCCAGGGGCTCATAGTCCAGGAGAACTGTGGCCTGACTCAGGTACATTTTACCTGCAATAACAGCAATTGCAGGTCACTGGAGTCCATCACAATTGGCTGGAGACAAATGTAAGACAAGAATATTTGCAGTTTCCCCAGACTGACACAGTTGCAGGTTCCCCGAAGTAATGAGTCCTGAGACACCTCCAACAAGAGCTAGAAAAGGTATCACTTCAAGAGGAGTTGCAGCCTACTCATTTTAGACAAATGGAGCAAAATTACAGTATCACATCTTTTCCTTTCTCCTTCATAGAATCTGGATGAACAGAACAGAAAGAGTTAATGGAATATAAGATTCCAATTCTCTGGCATGAGAAAATAGACAAGGAAAGGAAGATTCATCTTCATCACATCTCAGACATGCTTGGACACAGGGTCCAAGCACAAAAGAGAAACACATACTTCTTCCCATCCACACTGGGATCCAGGGTCTTCTCCCTCCTGTCAGGCCAGAACTGAGTCTCCACTCCCCAATTTAGTTCCCAGAGATGAAGCCCAATTTTCCTCTGTCTCAAGCTTTGAAGGCCAGCTTTAGCGTGTTCACCATGGATGAATGAAGGTGAGGTCAGAGGTTTGGGAAATGGTCAAGAATGAGGTGAGAAGAGAGCTGTGGAGGCATGGCCCCGGGGAGCTTGGTACCCCCCCATATCCAGAGCCTGTCTGGTCCAGGAGAGTTCCCAACCCTGTGAGCACCAACTCCGGATATTCTGGGCAGTGACCCGAGGGACAGCCTCTTATGAATACAGGCTGTTTTCCTCCAGTGTCTGCTGTGAAACCAGGATGTACAACATGGCCGTGTTCAACCCAACAATGGACTTAGGATTTTGCTGTACGCCAAAACTCAGTGTCCAACTTCCACTCTGTTTAGCTGGAAAAAGAAGGGGTTTGTTCCCATACATCTCACTCCTGTGTTCCTCTTTCAGTCTCAAAGCTCAGATGAAAACAATGAGTGTCACTTATTGTCAATCCTCTTCCCTGCCTTTTCCACACTCATCAGTATTACCGTTTACATTGAGACTAAAGATGGCCAATCACCACTTTTCTTCGGAAAAATCAACCTGATGTTGTACCTACTTTTTTAGAGGTGGAATCAACCTACCCTAAGATGCCAACTACATTTTACTGAATGGACTTTTGTGGATCCCCTCGATGTATATAGTGGCACCTTGAGGTATCATCCCTGTCTTTAGCAAATGAATATTATCCCAAGGACAATATTTCATCACAATTATTCGGGATGGACGAGTGGATATTGTGGTAGCAAGAACATTACTAAAAGTCACAGCTGATACAACACACTTGAAACCCATCTGGCCAATCTCCCACAGACAGAATGTCGCGCCATTCACTCCAGCCAGCTTCAGTCATGTTTCTTCCATTTCCACCTGTGGCCCCTCATGTCTCCACCAGGTCTTAGCCAGCATTGCCAAAAGAGCCAGGAAGACCAGACCAGCCACAACAATCCTGATGGAACTCTCCACAGTATAGTTCTGGAGAACAGGGGCTGGAGGGTGGGGGTAAGATCAGAGACCTTTCCATGTGGGCCAGGCCCCTCTCTCCCCAGAAGCTCTGAAATGGAGCTATTTCCCCATCTCACCTTCATAAAATTCTTCCTGTCCAGAACCCCTCTTCTCCCTATATCATCATGAGCACCTTCAGAAGTCTTTTGCCACAAAAAGAAATTTCTTTTGAAGATATACATTTTTTTGTACATTTCAAAAATGTTCCCAAACTAATTCTCCAAAGCAATAAATGTTTGTGTGTATTGCTGGGTAGGTTATGCATACAAGGAAAGGAAGCATAGTGAGTCTGATTTGGCAGAGGAAACATATGTGGAAATTATATCATTTACTCTCTTTACAAAATTAAGTACAAAATTGAAAACACTGGTAAGAAAGAATGAGCTATAGAGAAAGAAAACATCTGAGATGTTTGTTTCCAAGATGGCTGACTAAATGCTTTTCTGGCATGTCTCATCCACTTAGAAGAACGAGCAGAATCCAGAACAAAAACCATATGATCATCTCAATAGACATAAAGAAAAGCATCTGAAAAGAAATTCAACATCCTTACCTGATGAAAACCCTCAAAAACTTAGGCATAGAAAGAACATACCTCAAAATAATAAAAGCCATAGATGACATATCTAGAGTCAACATCATACTGAACAGGAAAAGTTAAAAGCACTCCTCTGAGAACTGGCACAAGACAAGGACACGGACATCCACCACTTCCTATCAACATAGTACTGGAAGCCTTGTCAGAGCTATTGGGCAACAGGAAGAATTAAAAATCCAAATTAGAAAAGAGGAAGTAAAATTATTTTTATTTCTGATGCTATGATCTTAAATCTAGAAAATCCTAAAGACCCTGCCAAAAATTCTTATGATTGATAAATGAACTAAGTAAAGTTTCAGAATACAAAATCAATATGTAAAAGCCGGTAGCATTTCTCTACACCTATAATGATCTAGCTGAGAACCAAATCAAGAAGGCAATGCCGTTTACAATAGATACGCAAAATTAAAACACTCAGGAATACATTTAACCAAGGTGGTGAAAGATCTGTACCAGGAAAGGTGTAAGACACCAATGAAAGCAATTATAGATAATACAAAAAAAAAAAAGAAAAAAAATCCCACGCTCATGGATCATAAGAATTAATATTGTTAAAATGACCATACTGCCTAAAGCAATCTACAGATTCAGTGCAATTCTTATATGAAAATAGTAACACCAGTTTTCACAGAATTAGAAAAAGCAATCCTAAAATTCATACAGAACCAAAAAAGATCCTAATAGAGAAAGCAATTCTAGGTGAATGTAGAAACCTGGAGGCATCACGCTATCTGACTTCAAACTATGCTCTAAGGCTATAGTAACTTAAATAGCACAGTGCTGGTATAGACACAGAAACAGAGATCAATAGACCAGAATAGAGAGCCCAGAAATACAGCCTCATATCTACAGTGAATAATCATTGACGACGTTAACAAAACATACACTGGAGAAAGATTTCCTTTTCAATAAAAGGTGCTGGGAAAACTAAATAGCCATATGCAGAAGAATAAAACTGGACCTGTATCTGTAATCATACACATAAATTAACTTAAGGTAATTAGCAGCTTAAATGTAAATCCAGAACTATAAAATCACCGGTGGAAACCCAAACAGAAACTCTTCTGGGCATTGGTCTGGGCAAAGAATTCATCACTAAGACCTCAAAAGCACAGGCAATAAAAATAAAACTAGACCAATGGGACTTAATAAACGAAAGAGCTTCTGCCAAGCAAAGGAAATAGTAGCAGGGTGAACAGACAACCCACAGAATGAATGGAAATGTTTGCAAACTATGCACCCAACAGAGGACTAACATCCAGAATTTCTAGGCAACTCAAACAACTAAACATAACCCCTCAAATAATAGCATTAAAAAGTGGGCAAAGGGATATACATAGACATTTTTCAAAAGAAGACATACGAATGGCCAAACAGCGTATGAACATCACTAATCATCAGAGAAATGCAAATTGAAACCACAATGAGATATCATCTTACAGTAGTCAGAATGGCTATTACTAAAAATGCTGGTGGGGAGTGGTGGCTCACGCTTGTAATCCCAGCACTTTGGGAAGCTGAGGCGGGTGGATCATGAGGTCAGGAGTTTGAGACCAGCCTGACCAACATAGTGAAACCCCATCTCTACTAAATATACAAAAGATTAGCTGGGCATGGTGGTGTGGTTCTGTAATCCCAGCTACTCAGGAGGCTGAGGCAGGAGAATCATTTGAACCTGGTTGGTGGAGGTTGCAGCGCGTGGAGATGGCGGCACTGCACTCCAGCCTGGGTGACAGTGGAAGACTCCATCTCAAAAAGAAAAAAAGAAAAAGTGAAACATATAACAGGTGTTGGCAAGGATGCAGAGAAAAGGAAACTCTTATACACTGTTGGCCGGTATGTAAATTAGTATAGCCTCTATGGAAGACAGTATGGAAATTTGGCAGAGAACCAAAAATAGAAGCACCATTCGATCTAGGGGTCCCGCTGCTGGGTATCTACTCAAAAAATATCTGCACCTGTATGTTTATTGCAGCACTGTTTGCAATAGCAAAGATATGAAATCAATCTAAGTGTCTGTGAATGAATGATTGGATTAAAAAAAGGATGCGTGTATACACAACGAAATACTATTTGGTCATAAAAATAAAACCATGTCTTTTGCAGCAACATAGATGGAGCTGGACGCCATTATTTTACATAAAACCACTCAGAAAGACAAATACCACATCTTCTCACTCTACATGGGAGGGGAGTAATGTGTACATATGGACGTAGAGTGTGGAATGACGGACAGCGGAGGCTAGAAGGCTGGAGGGTGGCGGGACGTGGGTGAGTGATGAGAATTTGCTTAATGAGTACAATGTACGGTATTTGGGTGATGGATATAGTAAAAGTCCTGACTTCACTACTCTGCAACATATTCATGTCACAAAATTACAAGTGTACCTCATAAATTTATACTAATAGAAAAGAAAGTCTGTACACAGTAATCAATTGTGATATGTAGATAAAGTCAATATTAAATTTAAACCAGAATAACTAGTTAAAATGTTGTGTACACAACAGTGAAGAGAGTATTTATCCTCTATGACAGAGGAAACCATCAATATTAATGCACAGAAAAAGCAAATAACTGAAACAAGAAAGAGCAGTTTTGTGACAGGGTAAAAATTGACAACAGTTTTAGAATGCTCCTAACTTGAGTTCCAAAAAGAAAGAACGAGAAAACAGGTCAGAAGCAATCTTTAAAGAGGCAATTGTTGATTATTTGGAGGAAGTAGACACATCCATCAATCCACAGGTTCAAGAAATCCAGTGAATGCCAGGCAGAATGAAGTAAACACACCTCACGTTCAACATTACAGAAAAGCAGCATAAAAGCACAACCAACCCTTAAAATTAGCCAGAGGAAAAGGATCAGCTGGTAAGGATTTATAGGGAGCCAAGCATTGTCTTCCCCACAGAAAAAAGGAAAACATAAGCCAGTAGAATAGCATCTTTACCCAGCTAAGATACCGTCGCCAGCCACCGACAATTCCTTACATAGTACAGTTACTGTCCAAGATCAACGCAGGAAAGAAACAGAACTGAAAGACAAAAGGGCAAAGAAAGCTTTTCTCACTGACCCTAAAGGAAATTCTGATGACCGTGCCTCAAAGATAAAGAAAGTGAAACCAGATGGGGTGTCGAAGATTCTGACAATAACTAAGAGCAGAGGAAGAACTAAAAATATGGCTATGCCAAAAATGAATATGGACCATACGATAGTGTATGAAAACACGCCCCTGTGTAATTTCTGAAAAAGATAGAATTATGTATACCACAAAACAAAACATCATATAAGTAAATACAAACATATGTACTAAATATGCTCTAAAATCCTGTTCTTACACAGGAAGAGTGGAAATATGTTTTTATATTTGCAGTTTAATCTCTGAAATGATTAATTTCAATTTTAAAAATATGTAACAACTTCAGGATGAGTACACCATATATGTATTCCTAAACGACATAGATCAAAAATAGAATGTTTGAAATAGAAAACCACAGAAGTCAGTGGGAAAAAAAGGGAATCAGGAAAACACAACGTAATAATAACAAAAATATGATTGGAAGAACTGCTCAAACATGAACAAAAGATTGTCAGAAAGTCTTACTTTCTAAGGCGAATTGTTTGAAATTTACAAAGGACACATCTCAATGTTAACAATTCATGGAGTTTGAAATTAAACAATGTAGAAATATACCAAGCAATCACTGTTAGAAATGTGGTATAACTATATTAAAATTAGACAAAATTAGTCTTTGGGAAAAATCAGCGGAAAACATTAAGCATAAAATGTAGGAAAAAAGCAGGTAAATTTATAGCATTTTAAATTTACCAGGAATATATAATCAGTTTACACTTAACCACTCCCAGTAATATTCCTGCAAATATACATGGAGGAAGAGTCGCGGAAATAAATGGACAGGTAGGCAAATCCACGGCCACAGTGGGGTGTTTAACACTCCTCTTTTCTCAGTTGTTGATAGAAGTGGTTCAGGCAATTAGAGAGGATTTAGAAAGATAATTGCTGGACCTGACCCAAGGTATAAGTCCACTCCCAACCACAGGACTCACTTTCCTTACAAGCACAAGGGCATTTAGAAATCTCTCTGGATTCTGACCAGCCCTCACCATATGGCAGGTCCATGGACTTCTTGGAACACACCAAGCTCATTCTCACATTAGGGTCATCCCCAATGTCCTAAGTCCATGAAAGTTCCTTTCAATACACTCCCCAGGGCTCACTCCCTCTTGTCTCTAAGATCGGAGTTTAAATGTGATCTCTCTGATGAGGTCTCAGTGAGACGTTCCCTCCTGTACACTCCAAATGACAACGTTCCACGTTCATTCATTTCATTCTGTGCATGGCACTTTCACCAAGTGCTAAGGATTCACTCACTAATTCATACATTCATTCATTCATTCATTCACTCATTCCATCATTCACTCATTCATTCATTCTCTCATTCATTCATTCATGTTCTGCCTCTCTCTCCCACCCCACAGCAATGTGAGCATCATGAACCCAGGAGCTTGGCCGTGCTGTCTACTCCTGGCCATGAAACAGAGAGAACTGATGGTAGGTGTGAAATAAATATTAGATGAATGAGTTAGTGAAGGGGTCATTTACTGGGTGAGCTCAGTTCTCTCTACTCTAATGCCCTCCCTCGGCTGACTTCCCTGAGTTGCCCCCTCGGCTGAGTGAAGTCCCTTCACTGGCAAATGGAACCTCAACCAGTAGCACCTAGGTGGTCTCATACTTTGTTCTTTCCCTCTCCTCTTGCTCCCTAAGGATTATCAATCTCCATGACAGGGCTGGAGAGCAGACAAGCCACACATTCTTTCTGGGGAGAGAGTAACATGGAGTACAAGGCATTCCACATTTAGGAAGAGAACTCAGTTATGGAAGGTCAGAAATGAAAAGTTCCTACAGACCAACACCCAGGTTGGTGGCCACAGCCCTAAATGCTGATGGAGAATCACTGCAAGTCTGTAGGGAAGATGTCTGGCTTGAGGCCACTGAGCGAAGTGGCAGATCCTTCTCAGCCTTCAGTGCTGAGCCTCTGTCCCCTCAGGGATCCACTGACCAATGAGAAGAGCCTCTTCTCATCTCCTGGGATGGAGCTTGGGGCCCCTGGCGAAGGAATGGGCCTGTTTCCACCTGTCATGTTGTCATCTAGCTTGGAAATCCTGCGAGTCCCAGGGAGGCCCTCCCCGAGTCCCCAGAGAAGACTCCCCCACTGAGTCTCCAAGGTGTGGAGAGAGCAAAAAACATCTAGGGTGGAAAATGCCTCCCATCAAGAGACATTGGGGCTCCCCCAACGATGGTTGCATCTGTGCCCCCCATGTGGAAATCACTCTTTGGTGAGAGGTGGGGGCTTCTGGAAATGGGCAATGGCGGGCGGCCAATGCTACCTCTAGTCTTTCCAATCTGAGCCCGGCCTTTCATGCTCCTGAGTCAGCATTGATGCTGTTTACATGTGTCCCAGGTGGGCTTCTGTACAAAGACTGGGAAGTGGTTTATGTGGCCTGTGCTCTATCTGCAAGCTTCAGGTAGGGTTGCAGTTACCACCCCAAACCCTAATGTGATCTGTCTGCCTCGCTCTGTCTGTCTGTCTATGCCTCTTTCTGTATGTTTGCTTTGTGTCTCTTCTGTCCAGCATCTCTGGCTGACACCCCCATGGCCACCCCCTCCATCTGAGGCTCCCCTGAATGTGGCCATTGTAGTCCATCTGAGTCCCACTATTTGGGGAACAGACTGGTTTCCTCACCTGTGACAGAAACAAGCAGTGGGTCACTAAGGTCTGACCACTCGTAGGGAGAGTCACGGAAAGAGCCGAAGCATCTGTAGGTCCCTCCGTGGGTGGCAGGGCCCAGAGGAAAGTTGGCCTGGAAGGTTCCATTGACCTTGGGCACTGCAGGGAGCCTAAGTTCATGAGCCTCCCCGTCCCTTGATAGATGGTAGATGTCATAGGAGCTCCGGGAGCTGCAGGACAAGGTCACGCTCTCTCCTGCCTTAACCATGGGGCGCGGCTGGGCTGAGAGAGAAGGTTTCCCACATAGACCTGGAAGGAGAAGAGGCAGTTTCCTCAGGGAGGTTCTTCCTTGTCACAACTCCCCTCCCACCTGAGCTGAGAACTCACTCCCCTGCTCTATGGCCTAATGCTCTCTCTCTCTGTCTCACCCTCCACACCATCTCTCTTTATGTCTATTTCCTCTTTCCACCTTCTCTGTCTCTCTAGGTCTCTGACCTCACTTTCTCACCTCTAGATATGTTTTCCCTTTTTGGATTGTTTTATTCTCTCTGACTCTCCTTGGACTAGTTGACTTGATGTTACTTTTTTTAAATTCTGAGTTTCTCACTTTGTGTCCTGTTCATAACTTTCTGCATATTTCTATCTATTATCTATCGATATATCTATTTATCTATTTGGTGCCTATCTACAAATTCTCTACCTGTCATCTATATCTATATATAATCTATTTATCTATCAATTGTCTATCCAAAAATCATCTATTATCTATATCTATGTATCGTCTCTCTCTCTCTATGATTTCTCTTTGTCTGCCTCTCTATCTCTATGTATTATCTATCTATCTTCATCTTCATCATCTCTATGTATCATCGATTAATCAATGAATGAATCAATCATCATCTATGTATCTTTAACCTATTATCTATCATCTACCTATTTATCATCTATCTATATCTATCCATCTATCATCTGTCTTGCTCTGCCTCTCGGTCTCTCTAGTTCTCTTTGGAATCTCTGCAATTCATCCCCACATCTCCATCTTTCTATGTCCTTGTGTCTCTCCCTCAGGACTCTAATTTTAGTGCTTTTCTCTGTTCCCTTCCATTGTTCTCTCCACTTCTCTGCCCTCTTTTCTCCCTCTTTATGTGTCTGTGAGTCTCTCAATCTCCTTCCTCTGGCTCATTCTCTGTGTGTTTATGTCTTTGCTTTTTGGTGTCCCTGATTTCTCTCTGTGTCTCTCAGTGATCCTCTCATATGTGGGGTTATTTGGAATGTGAGCCTCAGAATCCAGTCTGGGGACCGCAAGTTCACACAGTATACAGGGGTTGATGTTCTGGGGCCATGATATCCTGGGACGATTACTCTCCATTGCATGGAAGGCAGAGGTGTCAGAATAAACACGGCATCTGTAGGTGCCAGAAGGCCTGAGGCCACAGGGCCCAACTCAGGCCAGAAATATGGGTGTCCTTGGGTTCTTCTGGTAGAGAACACTTTGTGGAAGTAAAACAGAAATGAAACTTCTAACCTGTGCCAGGTCTCTGAGCAAAGTCAGCATGGAAGGACACCTCTCTCTGGCACATGTCTGTCTGTGTCTCCTTTAACTCTTTCTGTCTTTTCTAACTCCCTGTATGGCCCCTGTGTCTGTCCTCTGTTATGACACCTGGTCTGTACTTGTGTCTCCTGTTTCTCTGTCTCTGTTGGTACAGACCTCACCAAGTTAGTCTCTCTCCATAAGAATACCAAGCTCATCTTCCTTATAACCACCTGGGCCTCCAAGTCGTGGATCATTCACTCTGTGTCCCAGTGACAATGAGAATAATGTCCAGACACTCTCACCTGTAATCACGATGTCCAGAGGGTCACTGGGAGCTGACAACTGATAGGGGGAATGAGGAACAGAACCGTAGCATCTGTAGGTCCCTGCAAGGTCTTGCGTCATGCGACCGATGGAGAAGTTGGCCTTGGAGACCCCATCATGGAGCTCTCCAGTGAGGCGCAAAGTGTCATTAAACGTCCCCTCTCTGTGCAGAAGGAAGTGCTCAAACATGACATCTGACCAACATTGCAGGATGACTGTCTCTTCTGATTTCACCAGGGGACCTGGGTGGGCCAGGAGGGAAGGTTTTCTGTGGACTCCTAGGAAGAGAGGTTGTGACTTTAGAAGGCATCTCTCTTTATCATCCCATCCATGGCACCTAGAATGAGTGAGGCTTCCCCTCGCTGGTGTCTTATCTCTCTCCTTCCTCTCTGTGTCTTCATGTTCTTTTCTGTGCCCATAACTCCTGGTACAGGTCCTTCCATCTGTCTCCCTCCCTCTTCTCTGTCCCTCTGTCTCTAGTAGCTCCTGATTCCCTTGCCGCTGGGCTCAGCCTCATCTCTTGGGCTGTTGTATCTATTTCGAACTAATGTCTTTCCTGCTTCTATGTGGGGGTGGAAGAGGAACCAGGATAGGCTGCACGTCCAGGCTCTTAGCAGACTGGTTCAATCTCTTTTGGACGATTTGGAATCCTTGGCAGAAGGTATGAACTGATCAGTAAGGCAGGCACCAGTGTCCACACACCCTGTTCCTGGTGGGGACTGGGAGCCACTCTTGCCATGCCTGTGCCTTCTCCATGGTGCCAGCTTCCATAGGCTGGCTTCTGGTGCTGGTTTGAGGAGTATCAACCCCTCCCTATGTGGATGGAGCCTGGTGGTGGCATCATCATCCCACCCTTGCTGATCTCGGTGTAGCCAACCTTCTCTTTGTTTGGTTTCTTTAATTAATTAATTAATTTTGGAGTCAGAGTCTCACTCCTTCACCCAGGCTGGAGTGAAGTGGTGTGGTCTAGGCTCACTGCAACCTCTGTCTCCTGGGTTCAAGTGATTCTCCTGCCCTCAGCCTCCTGAGTTGCTAGGATTACATGCACCTGCCACCACGCCCGGCTATCCTTGTGTCCTTTCTTATCTTGTCCTTGACCTGGGTTCCAGTGTTGGTTTCCTGTTGGTGCTGTGGAAAATTATCAGAAGCATGGCAGCAGGAGAGAGCACACTGACCCCTTCCGTTTCTGGAGACAGAAATCGGACCCTGTTTTTTGAGGGCTAAAATCAAGGCATCTGCAGGGCTGCGTTCCCTCTGGAGACCCAGGAGAATCAGTTCCTTGACTTTTCCAGCCTCTATAGGCCACCTGCATTCATGGCTCATGGCCTTCCTCCACCTTCAAAGCTGATGGAGACTTCCATTGCACTGCTCTAATCGCCACTCCCCTCTTCCTTCTCCTCTCATGTGCACCCTTGTGATTACACTGAGCCCAGCAGGACAGTCCAGGCTGTCTCCCCATCTCAAGGTCAACTCAACAACCTGAGCTCCATCTTCCCCTTCAGTGCCTTCCCCTATAACATAAATAGTCACAGACTGCAGGGATTAGAATGCAGTCATCATTGGGGACAATTATTCTTTCCACCACAGCACCCATTTCCCTGTATTCAATCCCCTTTTACCCCAAATACAGTTAGGGTCTGGATGATGGGACGCTGGTGGACACTCCCACCAGAAGCTCTGGGACTCAGGAGGTGGGACAAGGAGAATCCCAGACAGGAGCCCTCTGACCTGTGACCATGATCACCAGGGGGTTGCTGGGTGCTGACCACCCAGTGAGGAAGTGTGGGTGTGAACCCCGACATCTGTAGGTCCCTGCATGTGCTGGGGTCACAGGGCCTATGAAAACGGTGTTTCGGAATACTCTGTTGTAGAGCTCAGGGACAGGCATCCCGTCTTCTTTGGACAGACTGAATTCGTTAAACCCAAGACGAGAGCGACACTGAAGAGCCACATGTTCTCCTTCAGACACCACAGGGCTGGGCCAGGCAGAGAGGAAGGGCTTGTCCTGACCACCTGGGGGAGAAGGAGGCGCCACCTTAGAGAGGAGGATGTGGCACTCCCTCCCTCTATTCCTTTCCAGGACTCACCAACACACGCCATGCTGACGACCATGAGCGACATGGTGCTGCCGGTGCAGACAGGCGGCCGCGCCCCAGCTCAGCTCAGCAGCGCACAGGATGTTATTTGGCGCCCTGCCCATGCAGCTTACATGTTGACTACATCATGGGAGGGTGACGTACGCAGGCTCTTTCTACCTTGCATGAGGCCCAGTGGATGCTTGCTCAAGAGCGGAACACGGCTTCCTGGAAATTGTTCTCACTAGAATTGGCACCTCACGTCCTTCACTATGACCAACTCACAACACGTCTCAGATCCAACCTCCCGAACACAAGATGCCTAAAATCTGTGCTAACGTGAAAGACTTTTCATGTATTTTTATCCGAACACGAGATGCCTAAAATCTGTGCTAACATGAAAGACTTTTCATGTATTTTTTTTGTTTTTATCTGAGATTCAAACTCTTCTTCCTGTGTAATATGCAAAGTATCTAATAGGTATTATTAATGTTTTCGGAGTCATTGTGACTAATAAACCATTAGAATTTTTCATGCTTGTATTTCTAGTATTACAGCAGAACCAGCTAAAATGATTTAAATTCCCAGGGAAGGATTATGCAATTATTTACAATCTTAGAATTGTACTTTATCAGCAAAAACCACACCTGTAAATTCTGGAGTTTTGTAGTTTAATCTAAAATTTGTCTCATGACCCAAGATTCCAGAGTCCCAACTCTGGAGTTTGCTCTCTGTCTGTCTCTCTCCCTCCCTCGTTTTAAATTTTACAGAAATATCCAGTAACATAATGCTATAGAAAATCAAGTTTTCCCCAGCACGTTGGGAAGCCGAGGTGGGCGGATCAACTGAGATAAGGAGTTTGAGAGCAGCCTGGCCAATATAGTGAAACCGTGTCTCTGTTAAAAATCCAAAAATTAGCCGTGCCTGGTGGCAGGCACCTGTAACGCCAGCTACTCAAGAGGCTGAGGCACGAGAATCGCTTGAACCTGGGAGGCGGAGGTTGCAGTGAGCTGAGATTGTGCCACTGCAGTCCAGCCTGGGCGACAGAGCAAGACTCCGCCTCAAGAAAAAAAAAGCAAACAGCCTATAATAACAAATTAGAGGGCTCTGGCTACTAAATTTAAAGGGTTCTATAAGGCTACATAAAGTGCAGCATCATCAAGAGTGTGGACACAGAGAGCCCCTTAGCAGAAACAGTGTCTAAAATACATCCATGTACACACAGTCCCTTTAGAGTTGACAAAGGCTGCCGTGTGGTTTAAGGTGGCATAGAATGTCTTCTCAATAAATAATATTAAACCAATTGGTTACACCTAGGAAAAAATAAATCTAACTCACACTATAAAAACACTTCTTAGTTTTTATCTAGTTGTACATTTTTTATGATTTATATTTAAATTTGAGAAATAAAAGTCATATACGGTCATCCTTCACTATTCGTGGGTGATTGGTTTTGAGATCTCCACTCAGATACCAAAATCTGTAGATGCTCAAGCCTCTTATATGAAATGGCACAGCGTTTGCAAATAACCTATGCACATCCTCCTGTATACATGAAATCATCTCTAGATTACTTATAATTCCTGATACAGCCTACACACAGCTTCATTTGTGTCCATTCAACATAGTTATGCTTTTTGAAACTCTGTGGATACTTTCTCTCAATATTTTTGATTTATACTTGGTTCAATAAACACCTGTAAACCCCGCAGATATGGAGGAGTGACCGTATATTTATATTATGAAAGATGATGTGTTGATATGTGTCCCCATGGAGATGAGACTAACAAGGCCTATGATTCTACAAATGTTTCATTGTGGAATGACTCTGCCAGCTTTCCAGGTCTGCAGAGAGTAAGAGTATCACTTGTTCATATGATTCGTGATCCTTGGAACCTCCTATGTGCTACATCTTTGGATGGAAATTGGAGTCCCAGAGACAAATGAGGCTCCACCCTGCTTCCAGAAACTCAGAGTCCGGGGATGAGAACTCAGTGGGGAACAGATGGGATTATATGGACATGGTACTGATAACACCGGAAGCCTTAGGCAAGAAAAGAGTCCCATTACCGAAACCATGGGGGCAGACATGTTTATTTGAAGGATGGAAAACTACATTGAAGTTATTTTAAAAAATATATAAGTTTTACTGCTGACAGAAGACTGAAAGCTAGTCTGAGGGGAGGTGGAACAGCATGAGGGAAGGTGGAACAACACGTGTCTAAGTGCTGCGTTAAGAGGGAGCCTCTTGTATGTTTGGAATTGTGAGTTCCTCAGTGTGATTGCAGCCTCAAGTAGACTAGGAAGTAAGCCAGTTAGGTTGGAGAGGTGGGCAGGGGTCAAGTGAAATGGAGAACTGTGGGCTAAGCAAAGGAGTGTGTTTTTTCTCCAGCAGGCAGTGGGGACCTTAGACATTTGTAAGCAAGTGAGAGGCACATTCAGATTTGTGGTGTGAGGAAGATCGATGCCCTAAGATGCAGACTCATGCCTTCAGATTCCAGCTGCTGGTACATGGGAGCTGGCAACCCGGTTTTGAGACAGGGCTGTTGTCTCCCTAGAAGACGCCCTCAAGGCCTGACTGTGGTGCTCATGGGCAGGAGACAACTTTGGATCTGGACTCAGCATTTGGAAGTTCCGTGTACACGATGATATCTGTTGGGGGTGTCTTGGGCCTCTGAGAAGGGCGAGTGATTTTTCTCTGTGTGAAAACGCAGTGATTCAACTGTGTGTATGTCACCTCCTGAGGGTCTTGTTCATCAGAGTCCTGGAGAGAGGGAAATGCTGAGTGAGGGAGGGTGCTCACATTTTCCAGGACTCTTTGGGAATAACAGTAGCCACGAGCCCGGGCCGAGGAGTACCTACCTCGCTATTCGCTGTTCTGTTTCCTGCAGACTCTTGGTCCATTACCGCAGCATCTGTAGAAGACGGAAGTCAACAAAACAGCTCGGAGGGCACTTCTGGGTCCTCATTTCATAAGCAGATACCAACATACAGGGGGAGACCATAGGTGGCTGAGGTCCCTCAGTTGCCAACAGCAGACTCAGACATTCTATCTCTCTGAGCTCAAGGACCCATCCCATGAATAGCTCTGAGTTCCCATCCCATTGATTCTGTCTCCCACTTTCTGCCTGTCATGGAACCTTCTCCTGGATGTGAGTGGCTGCAGGGGACATGAGGATACAGTTCAGAATCAGGCAACGGTCTGTGAGTTGAAGGCAGGGACAGGGAGTCTGGTGCCCTCTCTAGAAAGTCCTGCCTCTGTGGCTGCTGCCTTGGGCCAGGGACCATCCTGTTTGTGAGGAACACACACCTGAGTGCTCCCATCCTGCTTCCCCACATGGCCCTGAGCTCTCTGGCCTCTGCTTCGTGAGACTTACTTTTTTTGTTGGAGCACCAGCGATGAAGGAGAAAGAAGAGGAGGATGAAGAGGATGATGACCACTGAGGTCCCAATCAGAATGTGCAGGTGTCGGGGGTTACCTGGAAGAAGATGAGACACCAATAAGAAGCTAATCTTAGCAGTTCCTCTTTATGAATTGTCTCGCATTTCTTGATTGACAGGTAACCACATAAAACACCTCTTTAGGACAAGCACCCAGATGGCAGGAGACCCAGCTTTCTCCTGCTTTTTCAGTTATAGCTCTCATAGTAACCATAGAACGTGCTGAGGATACGACTACTTTAGTTGAGATGTTTGACCCCTTCAAACCTCACATTGAAATTTCACCCCCACTGTGGGAGGTTGGGCCTCTTGAGAGGTGTTTGGGTCATGGAGGTGGATCCATCATGAACACATCAATGCTGTCCCAAGGAGACGGGGTTAGCAAGTTCCCCCTCTATTAGTTCCCGGAGAGCTGGTTGTTAAAAAGAGCTTGGAAGCTCCATCACTCCCCCTCCCCCTTGCTCCCTCTCTTGCCGTGTGATCTCTGTGGTCTCTGCACAGACAGACCCTCCTTCCCTTCTGCCAGAGTGGGAGCAGCCTGAGGCCGTCACGAGAAATAGATGCTGGTGCCATGCTTCCAGTACAGCCTGCAGAACGGTGAGGCAAACCAATCTCTTTTCTTTAGAAGTTACCGAGGCTCAAGTGTTCCTTTAGAGCAACAAAAATGGCCTAAGACAGCAACTTCCTGAGATCAGGAGGAACGTCTCAGAACACCCTGGGCTGTCTTCCTGTTCTTCCTGGAGGACGTCATGCAGTGCTTTAGCTGAGTGCTTCCTGTGGCTCCAGGGTACAAAACCCAGGCTGGGCTGCTTTCTGGCTTCCCCCAGCTACACTGCAAATGGGGTGACTCCATATGTCCCGAGCAGCTTTTCTGAGCCTTGAGGGACTGGGTCACATTGAAATATAGGTTTCTGTTGTCACTCGCTGCTTATCTGTTAGTAATGAACCTGCCTATGTAACGTATTCTCTGTGTGTTCTGTCTCCCTGGAGTGACGGTGAGTGATAGGAATTGGCATAGGCCCAGGTGCAGTCCAGGAGGTGTTTAGAGTCTTCTCTGGGAAGACTGGACTGGGATTGATTCACAGCGAATGTGCTTTAGGGTTTCTACATCCACAGCATTCTTGAATCAAACAACTTGCATTCTCCAAGGAAAGAAAACAAAAGTGAAATCAAGATAAAAAAAGCGAAATAGAATTCTCTTATGTCAAACGGCCAGGAAATAGTGTTGAAGCCCGTGTGAAACCTGCTGCTCTTTGTGATCTCGGGAGACACATATTAGGCTGCTGTTCTACCCGAGAGGCTGGGGGAAGGACCACCCCCTCGGCCATCTATTGCTTCAAAACCACCTGTCCTCCTGTGAATTAGTAGGAAAGGGGAGCAGGAGCTAGTGCTGTCGCTGATCTCTGATTCCAAGATCTGGACTCACTCCAAGGAGTGTTAATGTTTACCTCCCCATGGTCTATCTGAATCTCCACAGGTGATTGGAAGTAGGGGTGAGGTGGGGGATTTGGGTGAGTGGGCAAGTTTTTTTTGTGATGACCAGAGCACTTTCTCTATTCCAGGATCTGTGCTGGAGGATTCAGCGGGCTTTCACATTTTCTATATGATCTCATGCTCACAGAAAGCCAAATAGGGAAGAGGTTTTAGGCTCATTGCCTAATGGATAAGATAAAGGATCAAAGAAGTAATTATAGAGAAATAGAAAAATCATGATTGGAATTCAGGTGCCTTTGTCATTCGTGTGTGTTTTATTATATTTATGTATTTCTTATTTTTATTTTTTGAGATAGAGTCTCCTTGTGTCCCCCAGGCTGGAGTGCAGTGATGCAATCTCCACTCACTGCAACCTCCACCTACTGGGTTGAAGTCATTCTCCTGCTTCATCCTCCAGAATAGGAGCTGGGATTACAGGGATGCACCATCGTGCTCGGCTAATTTTTGTATTTTTAGTAGAGATAGGGTTTCACCACGTTGGCCAGGCTGGTCTGGAACTCCTGACTTCATGGAATCCACCCACCTTGGCCTCCTGCAGTGCTAGGTTACAGGTGTGAGCCACTGTTCACAGACTTGTATATTATGCTATAATAAGTCTCTTCATTTCCACCACCACTCATATATCTGTCACTCCTTTGCCAGGTATTGATTTATGTGTAGGATGAATAAATCTCAGAAAGAAATTAATTAAGTGAGGATTAAACAAGTAGGAAAATCAAACCCAGTAAGCCTTTCCAGTCAATGATTCTACCTCACAAACATATCTTATATCCATCTACTTCATTCATTTAGTGTCTAAATCAGCACCACATTTCACCAGTGGGGCGGCAATTGCCTTTTCCACGGTCTCCTAGATTCCAGTTATGCACCTGGGCCTCCCTTATTTTCATGTCAGTCATATTAATCATGTAGGGATTCCTGGTTACCCCGAGGTGAATCCAATGGCTGTGAGTGTCAAGCACACACTCCTTGTTCCTCCTTAGTTTCCTGTGTACCCAGTGTGCTCTCCGTCTCTCTACAGTCGTCTTGTCATTCTCCCCACCTCATTCCCAGCATTTGAGTCAGAGCCTCTTCCTTCCACATCAGATTGTTTTCACCTTTGTGCCTTCATGGCTGACAGCTGTGTGTGCAAAATCCTTCCGCCAATCTTTCAGGGGTTCATTCCGTGTTTTTCATTAATGTCACAAATATCTGAATAGTGAGACCTTCTTTGTCACCTGAAATCATACACTCAGCATTATCTATTATTGATTTTGAATTCTGGCTGGGCACAGTGGCTCACGCCTGTAGTCCCATTACTTTGGCATGCTGAGACGGTCGGATCACTTGAGGTTGGGAGTTTCAGACAAGCTTGGCCAACGTGGTGAAACATCCTCTCTACAAAAAATATACAAAAAGAATTAGCCGGGCACGGTGGCAGTTGCCTGTAATCCCAGCTACTCGAGAGGCGGAGGCAGGAGAATCCCTTGAATCCAGGAGACGCAGGTTGCAGTGAGCCAAGATCGTGACACTGCACTGTAGCCTGGAAGACAGAGGGCGACTCTGTCTCAATAAACAAAAGAACAAACAAAAAATAGATTTCATGCACAGATGCTTCCCAATGGACCATTCATTTATAGATCCACTTGTGCGTTCATTTTCTGCCCTCCCATTTAACCATCTGCAATATCAGTGTCCCAAGGGCAGAGGCCAAATGCATCTTGTTCACTGTTTGTGGAAGGCAGGAGAATGCTGTCCCACCCCAAAATGTCCCTGTCCTAGCCTCCACAGCTTGTGAATATGTTATTTTACATGGAAAGGAGGAATGAAGATTGCAGATGGAATTATGGTTGCTAATCAGCTGAACTTAAAACAAGGGTATCCTGGATGATTTCCAGGAGATTATGAGGGATTTTCATCTTGGTGAACCCAATAGAATCCCCAAGTTTTCAAAAGATGAGGAAGAAGGGAGAGCAGCACTCAGAGAAAGAGGTGTGGTAAGGAAGAAGGCACTGAGTGATGCCATGTGAGATGTGACCAGTCTTTGTGGGCTTTGAGGAAGGAGGAAGGGGACCAGGAGCCAAGGAACTGGGAGCCTTTAGAAGCTGGGACAAGTGAGAAGCAGATTCGTGCCTGGAATCCTCAGAGGGAAGGCAGCCTTGCTGTCACCTTGATTTTAGCCCAGTAAGATGCACTTCCTACTTTGAGCTACAGCACTGTAAGATAATTAAAAAACCGTTTTGTTTTCACCCACGAATCTTGTGGAAATTTGTTATGGCAACAATAGGAAAAGGTTCCACACTGCACAGCCTGAGCATGGGGCCGTGGCTGAATGAGTCAGTGAGTCGAAGTGTGCGTGCATGAGCTCTGTTCTCTGTTACGGCAAGGCTCTTTCTCTGCGGAGTCAGCCAGGGTTGCTTCATGACCTACAGGAGCTCATTCCTTGGCAAGTGGAACTTCTCTAAAACACCTTGCCCTCATCAGATGTTCCCTTCCCTTCCCTCTCTCAAGTCTCCAGGAATTTATCCTCCAGTGAGGAATGCAGGTAGAACAAACATTGCATTTTTCCTGAGAAGGATGTCAGATTGGCAATCATTCTTCTAGCTTGTAGGAGGTCTCAGCTCCATAAAATGAGAGATGAAGAGATTTCACTGAGCCCTGTGTTGGGCCCAGATCCCTTTCGCTGTAGGAGTATCTGGAGTTCGGAGATGGTGGAAGACAAGTGTACAATGTCAGAGCTGTGAGATGCTGAGTCAACGCCTGAATCCAAGGTTCCCACCTCCCCAGGGTTCCAAAAGCGGATATAAGAGGGTTCTGTACTCACCGGTTTTGGAGCTTGGTTCAGTGGGTGAAGGCCAACTATTTGAAGGGTTTCCTAGAACATGAGACAGGAGAGAGGTGAGGAAATGAGGGTGTCTGTCCTCCACTCAGTGGAAATCTTTGAGGATGGTTCATGGCCAACACTCTCTTATCTAATATTGGGCCCTGGGAGTCCTGGGATCCTTTTTTCCATAATTTTTTTATATGACACCCACTGTCTTGAGACTTCAAGATATAAAGAGAAAACAGGAGCATCACACTACCTGATCTCAAAATATGTTACAGAGCTGTAGTAAGCAAAATAGCATGACATTGGCATAAAGAAAGGCACATAGAACAACGGAGCAGAATGAATAACACAGATATATTCCATGCATTTACATCCAATGGTTTTTTATTTTTTCTTTTGAGATGGAGTCTTGCTCTGTCACTCAGGCTGGAGTGCAGAGGTGCAATCTCGGTTCACTGCAACCTCAGCCTCCTGGGTTCAATCATTCTCTTGCCTCAAATTCCTGAGTAGTGGTATTACAGGTGCTGACCACCATGCTCAGCTAATTTTTATATTTTTAGTGGAGACGATGTTTCATCACGTTGGCCAGACTAATCTTGAACTCCTGGCCTCAGGTGATCCACCCACCTCGGGCTCCCAAAGTGCTGAAATTGCAGGTGTTAGCCACCAAGCCCAGCCCATCCAATGGACTTTGACAAAGATGCCAAGAACTCACAATCAGGAAAGGACAGTCTTTTCAATAAACAGTGCAGGGAAACCTGGACATCTACATGCAGAGGAATGAAACTGCAACTCTACCTGTCACCATACACAAAAATCAAATGAAAATGGATTAAAGATGTGAGTCTAAGGCCTGAACCTATGAAACACGTAGAACAAAATATTGGGGAAATGCTCCAGGACGTTTGTCTGAAGGAAGACATTTTGTTTTAAACCTTCAAAACACAAGTAATCGAAGCAAAAATAGACCATTGGGATTACCTCAAACTAAGCAACTTCAGCACTGCTAAAAATAAACCAACAAAGTGAAGAGACAACCCACAGATTGGGAGCAAATATGTGCAAACTATGCATCTGAGATGGGATTAATAACTAGAAATATAAGAAGCTCAAACAACTCAATAAAACAAATGATTTAATTGAAAAAGGAGCAAAAGACATGAAATTTCCCCACATACGAAAAAGTGCTCAGTATCACTCATCATCAGAGAAACGCAAATTAAAATCAAAGTGAGTTTTCATCTCACCCCATTAAAATGGCTTTTAGGCCGGGTGAGGTGGCTCACTTGTGTCATCCTAGAACTTTGAGAACCTGAGGTGGGTGAATCTCATAAGGTTGGGAGTTTGAGACCAGTCTGACCCACATAGAGAAACGCTGTCTCTACTAAAAATACAAAAATTAGTAGGGCGTGGTGGCGTGTGCCTGTAATTCCAGCTACTCGGGAGGCTGAGGCAGGAGAATCGCTTGAACCTGGGAGGTGGAGGTTGTGGTGAGCCGAGATAGCGCCACTGCACTCCAGCCTGGGTGAGAAGAGCAAAACTCCATCTCAAAATAAAATGAAATAAAATAAAATGGCTTTTAGCTGCAAGACAGGCAAAAGAAATGCTGGCAAGGTGGTAGAGAAAGGAGAACCCTGGTACCCTGTTGGGAGGAGTGTAAATTAGTACAGCCATTACGGAGAAAAGTATGGAAGTCCTTTAAAGAACTAAAAAGAGGTTGGGTGAGGTGGATCATGCCTGTAATCCCGGCACTTTGGGAGACTGAGGCGGGCACCTCAGTTGAGGTCATGAGTTTGAGAGCAGCCCAGCCAACATGGGGAAACCGCATCTATACTAAAAAAACCAAAAAGTAGCCAGGCATGGTGGTGTGCACCTGTAATCCCAGCTACTAGGGAGGCTGAGGCAGGAAAATCATTTGAACCCAGGAGGCGGAGGTTGCAATGAGCCAAGGTTGCACCACTTTGACTCCAGCTTGGGCTAAGGAGGGAAACTCTTTCTCAAAAAAGAAAAAAAAAAAAAAAAGAGAACTTTCATAGTATCCAGCAATTTCACTACTGGGTTTATATCCAAAGGAAAGTAAATCAACATATCGAAGTGATATCTGCACTCGTATGATTGGTGCAGCACTGTTCACAGTAGCCAAGATGAGGAGTCAACCTACCTGCCCATCAGTGGGTGAATGGATAGAGAGAATGTAGTACATACGCACAGTGGAGACTACTCATCCATAGAAAGAATAACATCCTGTCATTTGCAGCCACATGGATGGAACTGGAGGTCATTAAAAAGATTCCCATTTCTCACCCATATACAGGAGCTAAAAGGTGGATCTCATGAAGGTAGAGAGTAGAATGGTGGCTACTGGAGGACAGGAAGAAAAGGGTGGAGGGTAAAAAAAATGTATATATATATATATATAAAAATGTATTTATGACCACTAGACTTTACACTTAAAAATGGTAAATGTGGCTGGGCCTGGTGGCCCATGCCTGTAATCCCAGCACTTTGGGAGGCTGATGCGGGTGGATCACGTGGTCAGGAGTTCGAGACCAGCTCGACCAACATGGTGAAACCACCTCTCTACTAAAAATACAAAAAGTAGCCTGGCGTGGTGGTGCGTGCCTGTAGCACTAGCTACTCAGGTGGCTGAGGCAGGAGAATCGCTTGAACCCAGGAGGCGGAGGTTGCAGTGAGCTGAGATTGTGCCACTGCACTCCATCATAGGGGACAGAGCTAGACTCCACCTCAAAAAAAAATGTTAAAAGTGGTAAGCTATATAGGTATATTTATCCTCAATAAATATTTCTTCAAAGAAAAGTAAAGGGTGTAGGGGTTGCTGGTGATGACATCTCTGTGTGGGTGAGAGGCCAGGATGGGCTTCTGGGAAATGGGTAAGGTTGAGGGGCTGAGGGAACCTCTGATCTCCCCAAACTGAGCCCAGTCTCCCTCCTCTGGGTCTCTCCTGACCGCTTTCTCCATCTGCCTGGGTGCCTGGAGCCCTGGCCGTGGGCCTCCATGCAGGCCATGTAGGAGGGTTTGGAGGTGCCCTGTCGGCCATCCTGTGCCCTGATCCCTCCCTCACACCGAGGCTGCGTCTTCTCTCTGCATCTGTCCATGCTTCTCTCCATCCTCAGCAGGAAGCTCCTCAGCTAAGGCTCTAGGATCATAGGACATGGGACAGCCATGGGCTTTCCTCACCTGTGACAGAAACAAGCAGTGGGTCACTTGACTTTGACCACTCGTATGGAGAGTCATGGAAAGAGCCGAAGCATCTGTAGGTCCCTCCGTGGGTGGCAGGGCCCAGAGGAAAGTCAGCCTGGAATGTTCCGTTGACCTTGGGCCCTGCAGGGAGCCTACGTTCATGGGCCTCCCCTTCCCTGGATAGATGGTACATGTCATAGGAGCTCCGGGAGCTGCAGGACAAGGTCACATTCTCTCCTGCCAGAACCGTGGGGCCCGGCTGGGCTGAGAGAGAAGGTTTCTCATATAGACCTGGAAGGAGAAGAGGCAGTTTCCTCAGGGAGGATCTTCTTTGTCACAGCTCCCTTCACCTGAGCTGAGAACTCACTCCCCTGTTCTATGACCTAATGCTCTCTCTCTCTCTCTCTCACCCTCTACCCCATCGCTCTTCATGTCTATTTCCTCCTTCCACCTTCTCTGTCTCTCTAGGTCTCTGACCTCACTTCCCCACCTCTAGATATGTTTTCTCTTTTTGGATTGTTTTATTCTCTCTGACTCTCCTTGGATTGGTTGACTTGATGTTACTTTTTTTAATTCTGAGTTTCTCACTTTGTGTCCTGTTCATAACTTTCTGCATATTTCTATCTATTATCTATCGATCTATCTATTTATCTATTCGGTGCCTATCTACAAATTCTCTACCTGTCATCTATATCTATATATCATCTATTTATCCATCAATTGTCTATCTATCCATCAATCATCTATTATCTATATCTATGTATCATCTCTCTCTCTCTATGATTTCTCTATGTCTGCCTCTGTATCTCTATGTATTATCTATCTATCTGTCTTCATCATCATCATCTCTATGTCTCATCTATTAATGAATCAATCAATCATCATCTATGTATCTATAACCTATTATCTATCATCTACCTATTTATCATCTATCTATATCTATCCATCTATCATCTGTCTTGCTCTGCCTCTCGGTCTCTCTAGTTCTCTTTGGAATCTCTGCAATTCATCCCCACATCTCCATCTTTCAATGTCCTTGTGCCTCTCCCTCAGGAGTCTAATTTTAGTGCTTTTCTCTGCTCCCTTCCATCATTCTCACTTCTCTGCCCTCTTTTCTCTCTCTTTATGTGTCTGTGAGTCTCTCAATCTCCTTCCTCTGGCTCATTCTCTGTGTGTTTATGTCTTTGCTTTTTGGTGTCCCTGATTTCTCTCTGTGCCTCTCACTGATCCTCTCATAAGTGGGCTTATTTGGAATATGAGCCTCAGAATCCAGTCTGGAGACTACAAGTTCACACAGCATACAGGGGTTGGTGTTGTGGGGCCATGATATCCTGGGACGATTACTCTCCATTACATGGAAGGCAGAGGTGTCAGAATAAACATGGCATCTGTAGGTGCCACAAGGCCTGAGGCCACAGGGCCCAACTCAGGTCAGAAATATGGGTGTCCTTGGGTTCTCCTGGTAGAGAACACTTTGTGGAGGTAAAACAGAAATGAAACTTCTAACCTGTGCCAGGTCTCTGAGCAAAGTCAGCATGGAGGGACACCTCTCTCTGGGACATGTCTGTCTGTGTGTCTCCTTTAACTCTTTCTGTCTTTTCTAACTCCCGGTATGGCCCCTGTGTCTGTTCTCTGTTATGACACCTGGTCTGTACTTGTGTCTCCTGTTTCTCTGTCTCTGTTGGCACAGACCTCACCAAGTCAGTCTCTCTCCATAAGAATACCAAGCTCATCTTCCTTACAGCCACCTGGGTCTCCAATTCCTGGATCATTCACTCTGCATCCCAATGACAATGAGAAGAAAGTCTGGACACTCTCACCTATGATCACGATGTCCAGAGGGTCACTGGGAGCTGACACCTGATAGGGGGAGTGAGTAACAGAACCGTAGCATCTGTAGGTCCCTGCCAGGTCTTGCGTCATGCGACTGATGGAGAAGTTGGCCTTGGAGACCCCATCATGGTGTTCTCCAATGAGGCGCAAAGTGTCGTTAAACATCCCCTCTCTGTGCAGAAGGAAGTGTTCAAACATGACATCTGACCAACATTGCAGGATGACTGTCTCTTCTGATTTCACCAGGGGACCTGGGTGGGCCAGGAGGGAAGGTTTTCTGTGGACTCCTAGGAAGAGAGGTTGTGAGTTTAGAAGGTGTCTCTCTTTATCATCCCATCCATGGCACCTGGATTGAGTCAGGCTTCCCCTTCCTGGTGTCTTATCTCTCTCCTTCCTCTCTGTGTCTTCATGTTCTTTTCTGTGCCCATAACTCCTGGTGCAGGTCCTTCCATCTGTCTCCCTCACTCTTCTCTGTCCCTCTGTCTCTAGTAGCCTCTGATTCCCTTGCCGCTGGGCTCAGCCTCATCTCTTGGGCTGTTGTATCTATTTCGAACTAATGTCTTTCCTGCTGTCTATGTGGGGGTGGAAGAGGAACCAGGATAGGCTGCACATCCAGGCTCTTAGCAGCCTGGTTCAATCTCTTTTGGACGAATTGGAATCCTTGGCAGGAGGTATGAACTGATCAGTAAGGCAGGCACCAGTGGCCACACACCCTGTTCCTGGTAGGGACTGGGAGCCACTCTTGCCATGCCAGTGCCAGCTTCCATAGGCTGGCTCCTGGTGCTGGTTGGAGGAGTATCAACCGCTCCCTATGTGGATGGAGCCTGGTGGTGGCATCATCATCTGAGCCTTGCTGATCTCAGTGTAGCCAACCTTCTCCTTGTTTGGTTTCTTTAATTAATTAATTAATTTTGGCGACAGAGTCTCACTCCTTTGCCCAGGCTGGAGTGAAGTGGTGTGGTCTAGGCTCACTGCAACCTCTGTCTCCTGGGTTCAAGTGATTCTCCTGCCCTCAGCCTCCCAAGTCGCTAGGATTACATGCACCTGCCACCATGCCTGGCTATCCTTGTGTTGTTTCTTAACTTGTCCTTGACCTGGGTTCCAGTGTTGGTTTCCTGTTGCTGCTGTAGAAAATTATCAGAAGCATGGCACCAGGAGAGAGCACACTAACCCCTTCCAATTCTGGAGACAGAAATCGGACCCTGTTTGTCGTGGGTAAAATCAAGGCACCTGCAGGGCTTCGTTCCCTCTGGAGACTCAGGAGAATCAGTTCCTTGACTTTTCCAGCCTCTATAGGCCACCTGCATTCATGGCTCCTGGACTTCCTCCACCTTCAAAGCTGGTGGAGTCTCCCATTGCGCTGCTGTAATCCCCACTCCCCTCTTCCTCCTCCTTTCATGTGGACCCCTGTGACTACACTGAGCCCATCAGGACAGTCCAGGCTGTCTCCCCATCTCAAGGTCAACTCATCAACAACCTGAGCTCCATCTTCTCCTTCAGTCCCTTCCCCTATATCATAAATAGTCACAGACTCCAGGGATTAGAATGTAGTCATCACTGGGGACAATTATTCTTCCCACCACAGCACCCATTTCCCTGTATTCAATCCCCCTTTACCCCAAATACAGTCAGGACTTGCATGATGGGACCCGCAAGGACACGCCCACCAGGAGCTCTGGGATTCAGGAGGTGGGACAAGGAGAATCCCAGACAGGAGCCCTCTGACCTGTGACCGTGATCTCCAGGGGGTTGCTGGGTGCCGACCACCCACTGGGGTAGTGTGGTTGTGAACCCCGACATGTATAGGTCCCTGCGTGTGCTGGGGTCACAGGGCCCATGAAAAGGCTGTTCCAGAATATTATGTTGTAGAGCTCAGGGACAGGCACCCCATCTTCCTTTTACAGACTGAAGTTGTTAAACCCAAGATAAGAATGACACTGAAGAATCACATGTCCTGGAGGCACCACAGGGCTTGGCCAGGCAGACAGCAAGGGCTTGTCCTGACCACCGTGGGGAGAAGGAGGCACCGCCTTAGAGAGGAGGATGTGGAGCCGCCCCTCCCTCCCTGTGCTCTGAAGATTCTCCTCGCTTTCCAAGTTTCTATGGCTGCTATCACACCTTGGTGCCCAGGGCTAAAGGAAGGACCCATCCCGCAAACACAAGGTGTCTCCCTACAACAAAAGTGTCAGCTGAGAACTTTGAGCAAGTGCTGAGTAAGAGACTCCTACTAGATTTTAATACTGTAAGATTACTCACATAAAACAACACAGGGTAGACATGGGGTGGAGGGCATGTCCTTTGAGAATGGAATATCAGCCGATGCCTGAACGAAAATAAACAACTGAGTCCCCATCAGAGGATTGGAATGTCAGGGCCATGGCTGTGGTTTTCCCACCTCTTCTGGTAGAATGACAGCAGCCACACTGCAGCCCCTACCGTCATGGAAACGCTGAAGTGTGTGAGTAACACCTTTGTCCTCAGAGGATCTGCTGTTCCTACCACTTCCCCACCACACACCCCAGCTTTGAGCACCGTAGTCTAACCCTGGTCCCCACAGAACTTGACTCTGCCAAGGGAATGAAAGGCCAGGGAGGCAAGGTCAGAAATGTGGGCCCAGCACCCCAGGGTCCCTTCTTCCTAGTTTATGAGAGACTCCCTGACAGGACTTCCCTCCCATTTCAGGAAAATCCTCTTATGTGGGGAGATGACACCCGAAGGTTTGGAGAAGGACTCACCCTCATGTGGCCAGGCCCCCTGCAGCAAGAAGAACCCTGGAAAGAAAGATCATGATGGATGACCCATCTGCAGGCAAACCAGGGCACCCTTGCTGCCCCCACTGGGCTGTGAGTCTTGGTAGCCAGGCCCTTCCTGGGCTGAAGGTAAACTCACCCTCAGTGCCTACCTGCACCCAAGAACAGGGCTGTCGGCTGTGCAGAGACCCAGCCTCCAGGTCCATATCCCCACCTCAAGCCCATATCTCCACTCCAGGCCCATATCTCCACTCCAGGCCGATATTTCCACCCTAAGCCCATATCGCCAATCCAGGCCCATATCTCCAATCCAGGCTCAGATCTCCACCCTGGGCCCATATCTCCAATCCAGGCCCTTATCTCCACTCCAGGTCCATATCTCCTCTCCAGTCCCATATCTCCACTCCAGGCCCATATATCCTCTCCAGTCCCATATCTCCACACCCAGGCCCGTATCTCCATCCTAGGCACATATCTCCTCTCCAGGCCCAGATATCGACCTCTAGGCCCATATCTCCACTCCTGGCCCATATCTCCACTCCAGGCCCAGATATCGACCTCTAGGCCCATATCTCCACTCCTGGCCCATATCTCCACTCCAGGCCCATGTCTCCACTTCAGGCCCATATCTCTACTGCAGGCCCGTAACTCCACCTCCAGGCCCATGACTCCACTCCAGGCCCATATCTCCACCTCCAGGCCCATATCTCCCCTCCAGGTTCCTATCTCCCCTCCAGGTTCCTATCTCCACTCCAGGCCCAGATCTCCACTACAGTCCCATCACTCCACCTCCAGGCCTATATCTCGACCTCTGGGCCCAGATCTCCACTTCTAGGCCCATCACTCCATCTCTAGGCCCATATATCCACTCCAGGCCCAGATCTCCACTCCAGGCCCATAACTCCACCTCCAGGCCTATATCTCCACCTCTGGGCCCAGATCTCCATCCCCTCACTCCCTCCCTCTATTGCTTTCCAGGACTCACCAACACACGCCATGCTGACGAACAAGAGCGACATGGTGCTGCCGGAGCAGACAGGCAGCCGCGACCGAGCTCAGCTCAGCAGCGCACAGGATGTTATTTGGCGCCCTGCCCATGCAGTTTACATGTTGACCACATCATGGGAGGGTGACGTACGCAGGCTCTTTCTACCTTGCATGAGGCCCAGTGGGTGCTCGCTCAAGAGCGGAACACGGCTTCCTGGAAATTGTTCTCGCTAGAATTTGACACCTAGTGTCCTTCACTATGACCAACTCAAAACACGTCTGAGATCCAACCTCCCGAACACGAGATGCCTAAAATCTGTGCTAACATGAAAGACTTTTCATGTATTTCTATTGTTTTTATCTGAGATTCAAACTCTTCTTCCTGTGTAATATGCAAAATATCTAATAGGTATTATTAATGTTTTCAGAGTCATTGTGACTAACAAACCATTAGAATTTTTCATGCTTGTATTTCTAGTATTACAGCAGAACCAGTTAAAATGATTTAAATTCCCAGGGAAGGATTATGCAATTATTTACAATCTTAGAATTGTACTTTATCAGTAAAAACCCCACCTGTAAATTCTGGAGTTTTGTAGTTTAATCTAAAATTTGTCTCATGACCCAAGATTCCAGAGTCCCAACTCTGGAGTTTGTTTTCCGTCTGTCTCTCTCCCTCCCTCATTTTAAATTTTACAGAAATATCCAGTAACATAATGCTATAGAAAATCAAGTTTCCCCAGCACGTTGGGAAGCCGAGGTGGGCGGATCAACTGAGATAAGGAGTTTGAGAGCAGCCTGGCCAATATAGTGAAACCGTGTCTCTGTTAAAAATCCAAAAATTAGCCGTGCCTGGTGGCAGGCACCTGTAACGCCAGCTACTCAAGAGGCTGAGGCACGAGAATCGCTTGAACCTGGGAGGCAGAAGTTGCAGTGAGCTGAGATTGTGTCACTGCAGTCCAGCCTGGGCGACAGAGCAAGACTCCGCCTCAAGAAAAAAAAGCAAATAGCCTATAATAACAAATTAGAGAGCTCTGGCTACTAAATTTAAAGGGTTCTATAAGGCTACATAAAGTGCAGCATCATCAAGAGTGTGGACACAGAGAGCCCCTTAGCAGAAACAGTGTCTAAAGTACATCCGTGTACACACAGTCCCTTTAGAGTTGACAAAGGCTGCCGTGTGGTTTAAGGTGGCATAGAATGTCTTCTCAATAAATAATATTAAACCAATGGGTTATACCTAGGAAAAAATAAATCTAACTCACACTATAAAAACACTTCTTAGTTTTTATCTAGTTGTACATTTTTTATGATTTATATTTAAATTTGAGAAATAAAAGTCATATACGGTCATCCTTCACTATTCCTGGGTGATTGGTTTCGAGATCTCCACTCAGATACCAAAATCTGTAGATGCTCAAGCCTCTTATATGAAATGGCACAGAGTTTGCAAATAACCTATGCACATCCTCCTGTATACATGAAATCATCTCTAGATTACTTATAATTCCTGATGCAGCCTACACACAGCTTCATTTGTGTCCATTCAACACAGTTCTGCTTTTTGTAACTCTGTGGATACTTTCTCTGAATATTTTTGATTTATACTCGGTTCAATAAAGAACTGTAAACCCCACAGATATGGAGGAGTGACTGTATATTTATAGTGTGAAAGATGATGTGTTGATATGTGTCCCTGTGTAGATGAGACTAACAAGGCCTATGACTCTACAAATGTTTCATCTTGGAATGACTCTGCCAGATTTCCAGGTCTGCAGAGAGTAAGAATATCACTTGTTCATGTGATTCACGATCCTTGGAACCTCCTATGTGCTACATCTTTGGATGGAAATAGGAGTCCCAGAGACAAATGAGGCTCCACCCTGCTTCCAGAAACTCAGAGTCCGGGGGTGAGAACCCAGTGGAGAACAGATGGGGTTATGTGGACATGGTAATGATAACACTGGAAGTCTTAGGCAAGAAAAGAGTCCCATTACCGAAACCATGAGGGCAGACATGTTTATTTGAAGGAGGGAAAACTACATTGAAATTATTTTAAAAAATATATAAGTTTTACTGCTGACAGAAGGCTGAAAGATACTCTGAGGGGAGGTGGAACAGCATGAGGGAAGGTGGAACAGGACGTGTCTAAGTGCCGTGTTAAGAGGGAGCCTCTTGTATGTTTGGAACTGTGAGTTCCTCAGTGTGATTGCAGCCTCAAGTAGACTAGGAAGTAAGCCAGTAAGGTTGGAGAGGTGGGCAGGGGTCAAGTGAAATGGAGAATTGTGGGCTAAGCAAAGGAGTGTGTTTTCTCTCCAGCAGGCAGTGGGGACCTTAGACATTTGTAAGCAAGAGAGAGGCACATTCAGATTTGTGGTGTGAGGAAGAGCGATGCCCTAAGATGCAGACTCACGCCTTCAGATTCCAGCTGCTGGTACATGGGAGCTGGCAACCCGGTTTTGAGACAGGGCTGTTGTCTCCCTAGAAGATCCCCTCAAGGCCTGACTGTGGTGCTCATGGGCAGGAGACAACTTTGGATCTGGACTCAGCATTTGGAAGTTCCGTGTACACTCTGGTATCTGTTGGGGGTGTCTTGGGCCTCTGAGAAGGGCGAGTGATTTTTCTCTGTGTGAAAACGCAGTGATCCAACTGTACGTATGTCACCTCCTGAGGGTCTTGTTCATCAGAGTCCTGGAGAGAGGGAAATGCTGAGTGAGGGAGGGTGCTCACGTTTTCCAGGACTGTTTGGGAATAACACTAGCCACGAGGCTGGGCCGAGGAGCACCTACCTCGCTATTCGCTGTTCTGTTCCCTGCAGGCTCTTGGTCCATTACAGCAGCATGTGTAGGAGACGGAAGTCAACAAAAGAGCTCGGAGGGCACTTCTGGGTCCTCATTTCATAAGCAGATACCAACAAACAGGGGGAGGCCATAGGTGCCTGAGGTCCCTCAGTTGCCAACAGCAGACTCAGACATTCTATCTCTCTGAGCTCAAGGACCCATCCCATGAATAGCTCTGAGTTCCCATCCCATTGATTCTGTCTCCCACTTTCTGCCTGTCATGGAACCTTCTCCTGGATGTGAGTGGCTGCAGGGGACATGAGGATACAGTTCAGAATCAGGCAACGGTCTGTGAGCTGAAAGCAGGGACAGGGAGTCTGGTGCCCTCTCTAGAAAGTCCTGCCTCTGTGGCTGCTGCCTTGGGCCAGGGACCATCCTACCTGTGAGGAACACACACCTGAGTGCTCCCATCCTGCTTCCCCACATGGCCCTGAGCTCTCTGGCCTCTCCTTCGTGAGACTTACTTTTCTTGTTGGAGCACCAGCGATGAAGGAGAAAGAAGAGGAGGAGGATGAAGAGGATGATGACCACTGAGGTCCCAATCAGAACGTGCAGGTGTCTTGGGTTACCTGGAAGAAGATGAGACACCAATAAGAAGCTAATCATAGCAGTTCCTCTTTATGAATTGTCTCGCATTTCTTGATTGACAGGTAACCACGTAAAACACCTCTTTAGGACAAGCACCCAGATGGCGGGAGACCCAGCTTTCTCCTGCTTTCTCAGTTATAGCTCTCAAAGTAACCATAGAATGTGCTGAGGATACAACTACTTTAGTTGAGATGTTTGACCCCTTCAAACCTCACATTGAAATTTCACCCCCATTGTGGGAGGTTGGGCCTCTTGAGAGGTGTTTGGGTCATGGAGGTGGATCCATCATGAACAGATCAATGCTGTCCCAAGGAGACGGGGTTAGCTAGTTCCCCCTCTATTAGTTCCCAGAGAGCTGGTTGTTCAAAAGAACTTGGAAGCTCCATCGCTCCCCCTCCCCCTTGCTCCCTCTCTTGCCGTGTGATCTCTGTGGTCTCTGCACAGACAGACCCTCCTTCCCTTCTGCCAGAGTGGGAGCAGCCTGAGGCCATCACGAGAAATAGATGCTGGTGCCATGCTTCCAGTACAGCCTGCAGAACGGTGAGGCAAACCAATCTCTTTTCTTTAGAAGTTGCCCAGGCTCAAGTGTTCCTTTAGAGCAACAAAAATGGACTAAGACAGCAACGTCCTGAGATCAGGAGGAACGTCCCAGAGCAGCCTGGGCTGTCTTCCTGTTCTTCCTGGAGGAGGACGTCATGCAGTGCTTTAGCTGAGTGCTTCCTGTGGCTCCAGGGTACAAAACCCAGGCTGGGCTGCTTTCTGGCTTCCCCCAGCTACACTGCAAATGGGGTGACTCCATATGTCCCGAGCAGCTTTTCTGAGCCTTGAGGGACTGGCTCACATTGAAATGTAGGCTTCTGTTTTCACTCGCTGCTTATCTGTTAGTAATGAACCTGCCTATGTAACGTATTCTCTGTGTGTTCTGTCTCCCTGGAGTGACGGTGAGTGATAGGAATTGGCGTAGGCCCAGGTGCAGTCTAGGAGGTGTTTAGGGTCTTTTCTGGGAAGACTGCACTGGGATTGACACACAGCGAATGTGCTTTAGGATTTCTACATCCACAGCATTCTTGAGTCAAACAACTTGCGTTCTCCAAGGAAAGGAAACAAAAGTGAAATCAAGATAAAAAAGCGAAATAGAGTTATCTTATGTCCAACAGCCAGGAAATCGTGTTGAAGCCCCTGTGAAACGTCCTACTCTTTGTGATCTCGGGAGACACATGTTAGGCTGCTGTTCTACCTGAGAGGCTGGGGGAAGGACCACCCCCTCCACCATCTATTGCTTCAATACCACCTGTCCTCCTGTGAATTAGTAGGAAAGGGGAGCAGGAGCTAGTGCTGGTGCTGATCTCTCATTCCAAGATCTGGACTCACTCCAAGGAGTATTAATGTTTACCTCCCCATGGTCTATCTGAATCTCCACAGGTGATTGGAAGTAGGGGTGAAGTGGGGGATTTGAGTGAGAGGGCAAGTTTTTTTTGTGATGAACAGAGCACTTTCTCTATTCCACGATCTGTGCTGGAGGATTCAGCGGGCTTTCACATTTTCTATATGGTCTCATGCTCACAGAAAGCCAAATACGGAAGAGGTTTTAGGCTCATTGCCTAATGGATAAGACAAAGGATCAAAGAAGTAATTATAGAGAAATACAAAAATGATGATTGGAATTCAGGTGCCTTTGTCATTCGTGTGTGTTTTATTATATTTATGCATTTCTTATTTTTATTTTTTGAGACGGAGTCTCCTTGTGTCACCCAGGCTGGAGTGCAGTGATGCAATCTCCACTCACTGCAACCTCCACCTCCTGGGTTGAAGTTGTTCTCCTGCTTCATCCTCAAGAGTAGGAGCTGGGATTACAGGGATGCACCACCATGCTCGGCTAATTTTTGTATTTTTCATAGAGACAGGGTTTCACCATTTTGGCCAGGCTGGTCTGGAACTCCTGACTTCAAGTGATCCACCCGCCTTGGCCTCCTGCAGTGCTGGGAATTGCCTTTTCCACGGCCTGAGCATGGGGCCGTGGCTGAATGAGTCAGTGAGTCGAAGTGTGCGTGCATGAGCTCCGTTCTCTGTTAAGGCAAAGCTCTTGCTCTGCTGAGTCAGCCAGGGTTGCTTCATGACCAACAGTAATTCATTCCTGGGCAAGTGGAACTTCTCTAAAACACCTTGCCCTCATCAAATGTTCCCTACCCTTCCCTCTCTCAAGCCCCCAGGAATTTATCCTCCAGTTAGGAATGCAGGCAGAACAAACATTGCATTTTTCCTGAGAAGGATGTCAGATTGCCAATCATTTTTCTAGCTTGTAGGAGATCTCAGCTCCATAAAATGAGAGATTAAGAGATTTCACTGAGCCCTGTTTTGGGTCCAGATCCCTTTCGCTGTTGGAGTATCTGGAGTTCGGAGATGGTAGAAGACAGGCGTACAATGTCAGAGCTGTGAGATGCTGAGTCAACGCCTGAATCCAAGGTTTCCACCTCCCCAGGTTTCCAAAAGCGGATATAAGAGGGTTCTGTACTCACCGGTTTTGGAGCTTGGTTCAGTGGGTGAAGGCCAACTATTTGAAGGGTTTCCTAGAACACGAGACAGGAGAGAGGTGAGGAAATGAGGGTGTCTGTCCTCTACTCAGTGGAAATCTTTGAGGTTGGTTCATGGCCAACACTCTGTTATCTAATATTGGGCCCTGGGAGTCCTGGGATCCTTTTTTCCGTAATTTTTGTATGTGACGGCTACTGTCTTGAGACTTCAAGGTATAAAGAGAAAACAGGAGCATCACACTACCTGATCTCAAAATATGTTACAGAGCTGTAGTAAGCAAGACAGCATGACGTTGGCATGAAGAAAGGCACATAGAACAACGGAGCAGAATGAATAACACAGATATAATCCATGCATTTACCTCCAATGTATTTTTTGTTTTTCTTTTGAGATGGAGTCTTGCTCTGTCACCCAGGCTGGAGTGCAGAGGTGCAATCTCGGTTCACTGCCACCACAGCCTCCTGGGTTCAATCACTTCTCTTGCCTCAAACTCCTGAGTAGTGGTATTACAGGTGCTGACCACCATGCTCAGCTAATTTTTATATTTTTAGTGTAGACGATGTTTCATCACGTTGGCCAGACTAATCTTGAACTCTTGGCCTCAGGTGATCCACCCACCTCGGGCTCCCAAAGTGCTGAAATTGCAGGTGTCAGCCACCATGCCCAGCCCATCCAATGGACTTTGACAAAGGTGCCAAGAACTCACAATCAGGAAAGGACAGTCTTTTCAATAAACAGTGCAGGGAAACCTGGACATCTACATGCAGAGGAATGAAACTGCACCTCTGCCTGTCACTATACACAAAAATCAAATGAAAATGGATTAAAGATGTGAGTCTAAGGCCTGAACCTATGAAACACGTAGAAGAAAATATTGGGGAAATGCTCCAGGACGTTTGTCTGAAGGAAGACATTTTGTTTTAAACCTTCAAAACACAAGTAATCGAAGCAAAAATAGACCATTGGGATTACCTCAAACTAAGCAACTTCTGCACCGCTAAAAATAAACCAACAAAGTGAAGAGACAACCCACAGATTGGGAGCAAATATGTGCAAACTATGCATCTGAGATGGGATTAATAACTAGAAATATAAGAAGCTCAAACAACTCAATAAAACAAATGATTTAATTGAAAAAGGAGCAAAAGACATGAAATTTCCCCACATACGAAAAAGTGCTCAGTATCACTCATCATCAGAGAAACGCAAATTAAAATCAAAGTGAGTTTTCATCTCACCCCATTAAAATGGCTTTTAGGCCGGGCGTGGTGGCTCACGTCTGTCATCCTAGAACTTTGAGAGCCTGAGGTGGGTGAATCTCATAAGGTCGGGAGTTTGAGACCAGTCTGACCCACATGGAGAAACACTGTCTCTACTAAAAATACAAAAATTAGTCGGGCGTGGTGGCGTGTGCCTGTAATTCCAGCTACTCGGGAGGCTGAGGCAGGAGAATCGCTTGAACCTGGGAGGTGGAGGTTGTGGTGAGCCGAGATCGCACCACTGCACTCAGCCTGGGTGACAAGAGCGAAACTCCATCTCAAAATAAAATGAAATAAAATAAAATGGCTTTTAGCTGCAAGACAGGCAAAAGAAATGCTGGCAAGGTGTTAGAGAAAGGAGAATCCTGGTATCCTGTTGGTAGGAGTGTAAATTAGTACAGCCATTACGGAGAAAAGTGTGGAAGTCCTTTAAAGAACTAAAAAGAGGTTGGGTGAGGTGGATCATGCCTGTAATCCCGGCACTTTGGGAGACCGAGGCGGGCACCTCAGTTGAGGTCATGAGTTTGAGAGCAGCCCAGCCAACATGGGGAAACCGCATCTATACTAAAAAAAACAAAAAGTAGCCAGGCATGGTGGCGTGCGCCTATAATCCCTGATACTAGGGAGGCTGAGGCAGGAAAATCATTTGAACCCAGGAGGCAGAGGTTGCAATGAGCCAAGATGACATCACTTGTACTCCAGCCTGGGCACAGAGGGAAACTGTCTCAAAAACAAAAACAAAACAACAAACGAAAAACTAAAAAGAGAACTTTCATAGTATCCAGCAATTTCACTACTGGGTTTATATCCAAAGGAAAGTAAATCAATATATCGAAGTGATATCTGCACTCGTATGATTGGTGCAGCACTCTTCACAGTAGCCAAGATGAGGAGTCAACCTACCTGCCCATCAGTGGGTGAATGGATAGAGAGAATGTGGTACATTTGCATAGTGGAGACTACTCTTCCATAGAAAGAAAAACATCCTGATATTTGCAGCCACATGGATGGAACTGGAGGTCATTACAAAGATTCCCATTTCTTACCCATATACAGGAGCTAAAAGGTGGATCTCATGAAGGTAGAGAGTAGAATGGTGGCTACCAGAGGCCAGGAAGAAAAGGGTGGAGGGTAAAAAAAAATATGTGTATATATATATATATTAATGTATTTATGACCACTAGACTTTACACTTAAAAATGGTAAATGTGGCTGGGCGTGGTGGCTCATGCCTGTAATCCCAGCACTTTGGGAGGCTGATGCGGATGGATCACGTGGTCAGGAGTTCCAGACCAGCTTGACCAACATGGTGAAACCCCCTCTCTACTAAAAATACAAAAAGTAGCCTGGCATGGTGGTGCACGCCTGTAGCACCAGCTACTCAGGTGGCTGAGGCAAGAGAATCGCTTGAACCCAGGAGGCGGAAGTTGCAGTGAGCTGAGATTGTGCCAATGCACTCCAGCATAGGGGACAGAGCTAGACTCCGCCTCAAAAAAAAAATGTTAAAGGTGGTAAGCTATATAGGTATATTTATCCTCAATAAATATTTCTCAAACAAAAGTAAAGGGTGTAGGGGTTGCAGGTGATGACATCCCTGTGTGGGTGGGAGGCCAGGATGGGCTTCTGGGAAATGGGTAATGTTGAGGGGCTGAGGGAACCTCTGATCTTCCCAAACTGAGCCCAGTCTCCCTCCTCTGGGTCTCTCCTGACCGCTTTCTCCATCTGCCTGGGTGCCTGGAGTCCTGGCCGCAGGCCTTCATGCAGGCCATGTAGGAGGGTTTGGAGGTGCCCTGTCTGCCATCCTGTGCCCTGATCCCTCCCTCACACCCAAGCTTCGTCTTCTCTCTGCATCTGTTCATCCTTCTCTCCATCCTCAGCAGGAAGCTCCTCAGCTAAGGCTCTAGGATCATAGGACATGGGACAGCCATGGGCTTTCCTCACCTGTGACAGAAACAAGCAGTGGGTCACTCGAGTTTGACCACTCGTAGGGAGAGTCACGGAAAGAGCCGAAGCATCTGTAGGTTCCTCCGTGGGTGGCAGGGCCCAGAGGAAAGTCAGCCTGGAATGTTCCGTTGACCTTGGGCCCTGCAGAGAACCTACGTTCATGGGCCTCCCCCTCCCTGGATAGATGGTACATGTCATAGGAGCTCCGGGAGCTGCAGGACAAGGTCACGCTCTCTCCTGCCAGAACCGTGGGGCCCGGCTGGGCTGAGAGAGAAGGTTTCTCATATAGACCTGGAAGGAGAAGAGGCATTTTCCTTACGGAGGATCTTCCTTGTCACAGCTCCCTTCACCTGAGCTGAGAACTCACTCCCCTGCTCTATGACCTAATGCTCTCTCTCTCTGTCTCTCACCCTCCACCCCATCTCTCTTCATGTCTATTTCCTCCTTCCACCTTCTCTGTCTCTCTAGGTCTCTGACCTCGCTTCCACACCTCTAGATATGTTTTCCCTTTTTGGATTCTTTTATTCTCTCTGACTCTCCTTGGATTGGTTGACTTGATGTTACTTTTTTAAATTCTAAGTTTCTCACTTTGTGTCCTGTTCATAACTTTCTGCATATTTCTATCTATTATCTATCGATCTATCTATTTATCTATTCGGTGCCTATCTACAAATTCTCTACCTGTCATCTATGTCTATATATCATCTATGTATCTATCACTTGTCTATCTATCCATCAATCATCTGTTATCTATATCTATGTATCATCTCTCTCTCTATGACTTCTGTCTGCCTCTCTATCTCTATGTATTATCTATCTGTCTTCATCATCATCATCTCTATGTCTCATCTATTAATGAATCAATCAATCATCATCTATGTATCTTTAACCTATTATCTATCATCTACCTATTTATCATCTATCTATATCTAACCTTCTATCATCTGTCTTGCTCTGCCTCTCGGTCTCTCTAGTTCTCTTTGGAATCTCTGCAATTCATCCCCACATCTCCATCTTTCTATGTCCTTGTGCCTCTCCCTCAGGAGTCTAATTTTAGTGCTTTTCTCTGCTCCCTTCCATCATTCTCACCACTCCTCTGCCCTCTTTTCTCTCTCTTTATGTGTCTGTGAGTCTCTCAATCTCCTTCCTCTGGCTCATTCTCTGTGTGTTTATGTCTTTGCTTTTTGGTGTCCCTGATTTCTCTCTGTGCCTCTCAGTGATCCTTTCATATGTGGGGTTATTTGGAATGTGAGCCTCAGAATCCAGTCTGGAGACCACAAGTTCACACAGCATACAGGAGTTGGTGTTCTGGGGCCATGATATCCTGGGACGGTTACTCTCCATTACATGGAAGGCAGAGGTGTCAGAATAAACACGGCATCTGTAGGTGCCACAAGGCCTGAGGCCACAGGGCCCAACTCAGGTCAGAAATATGGGTGTCCTTGGGTTCTCCTGGTAGAGAACACTTTGTGGAGGTAAAACAGAAATGAAACTTCTAACCTGTGCCAGGTCTCTGAGCAAAGTCAGCATGGAGGGACACCTCTCTCTGGGACATGTCTGTCTGTCTGTCTCCTTTAACTCCTTCTGTCTTTTCTAACTCCCGGTATGGCCCCTGTGTCTGTCCTCTGTTATGACACCTGGTCTGTACTTGTGTCTCCTGTTTCTCTGTCTCTGTTGGTACAGACCTCACCAAGTCAGTCTCTCTCCATAAGAATACCAAGCTCATCTTCCTTACAACTACCTGGGGGTTCCAAGTCGTGGATCATTCACTCTGCATCCCAATGACAATGAGAAGAATGTCCGGACACTCTCACCTGTGATGACGATGTCCAGAGGGTCACTGGGAGCTGACAACTGATGGGGGAGTGAGTAACAGAACCGTAGCATCTGTAGGTCCCTGCCAGGTCTTCCATCATGGGACCGATGGAGAAGTTGGCCTTGGAAACCCCATCATGGTGCTCTCCAGTGAGGTGCAAAGTGTCGTTAAACTTCCCTTCTCTGTGCAGAAGGAAGTGCTCAAACCTGACATCTGACCAACATTGCAGGATGACTGTCTCTTCTGATTTCACCAGGGGACCTGGGTGGGCCAGGAGGGAAGGTTTTCTGTGGACTCCTAGGAAGAGAGGTTGTGAGTTTAGAAGGTGTCTCTCTTTATCATCCCATCCATGGCACCTAGAATGAGTGAGGCTTCCCCTTGCTGGTGTCTGTCTCTCTCCTTCCTCTCTGTGTCTTCATGTTCTTTTCTGTGCCCATAACTCCTGGTGCAGGTCCTTCCATCTGTCTCCCTCCCTCTTCTCTGTCCCTCTGTCTCTAGTCGCCTCTGATTCCCTTCCCACTGGGCTTAGCCTCATCTCTTGGGGTGTTGTATCTATTTCACACTAATGTCTTTCCTGCTGTTTATGTGGGGGTGAAAGAGGAACCAGGATAGGCTGCACATCCAGCCTCTTATCAGCCTGGTTCAATCTCTTTTGGATGAATTGGAATCCTTGGCAGTAGGTATGAACTGATGAATAAGGCAGGCACCAGTGTCCACACACCCTGTTCCTGGTCGGGACTGGGAGCCACTCTTGCCATGCCTGTGCCTTCTCCATGGTGCCAGCTTCCATAGGCTGGCTCCTGGTGCTGGTTTGAGGAGTATCAACCCCTCCCTATGTGGATGGAGCCTGGTGGTGGCATCATCATCCCACACTTGCTCATCTCGGTGTAGCCAACCTTCCCCTTGTTTGGTTCCTTTAATTAATTAATTAATTATGGAGACAGAGTCTCACTCCTTCACCCCAGCTGGAGTGAAGTGGTGTGGTCTAGGGTCACTGCAACCTCTGTCTCCTGGGTTCAAGTGATTCTCCTGCCCTCAGCCTCCCAAGTCGCTAGGATTACATGCGCCTGCCACCACACCCGGCTATCCTTGTGTTGTTTCTTACCTTGTCCTTGACCTGGGTTCCAGTGTTGGTTTCCTGTTGCTGCTGTAGAAAATTATCAGAAGCATGGCAGCAGGAGAGAGCACACTGACCCATTTCACTACTGGAGACAGAAATAGGACCCTGTTTTTCCTGGGCTAAAATCAAGGCATCTGCAGGGCTTCGTTCCCTCTGGAGACTCTGGAGAATCATTTCCTTGACTTTTCCAACCTCTACAGGCCACCTGCATTCATGGCTCCTGGCCTTCCTCCACCTTCAAAGCTGGTGGAGTCTCCCATTGCGCTGCTCTAATCCCCACTCCCCTCTTCCTCCTCCTTTCATGTGGACCCTTGTGATTACACTGAGCCCAGCGGGACAGTCCAGGCTGTCTCCCCATCTCAAGGTCAACTCATCAACAACCTGAGCTCCATCTTCCCCTTCAGTTCCTTCCCCTATAACATAAATAGTCACAGACTCCAGGGATTTGAATGTAGTCATCACTGGGGACAATTATTCTTCCCACCACAGCACCCATTTCCCTGTATTCAATCCCCCTTTACCCCAAATATAGTCAGGGCCTGGGTGATGGGACCCTCAAGGACACGCCCACCAGAAGCTCTGGGATTCAGGAGGTGGGAAAGGAGAATCCAAGACAGGAGCCCTCTGACCTGTGGCCATGATCACCAGGGTGTTGCTGGGTGCCGACCACCCACTGGGGTAGTGTGGGTGTGAACCCCGACATCTGTACGTCCCTGTGTGTGCTGGGGTCACAGGGCCCATGAAAAGGCTCTTCCAGAATATTCTGTTGTAGAGCTCAGTGCCAGGCACCCCATCTTCCTTTTACAGACTGAAGTTGTTAAACCCAAGATAAGAATGACACCGAAGAATCACATGTCCTGGAGGCACCACAGAGCTGGGCCAGGCAGACAGCAAGGGCTTGTCCTGACCACCTTGGGGAGAAGGAGGCACCGCCTTAGAGAGGAGGATGTGGAGCCACCCCTCCCTCCCTGTGCTCTGAAGATTCTCCTCGCTTTCCAAGTTTCTATGGCTGCTATCACACCTTGGTGCCCAGGGCTAAAGGAAGGACCCATCCCGCAAACACAAGGTGTCTCCCTACAACAAAAGTGTCAGCTGAGAACTTTGAGCAAGTGCTGAGTAAGAGACTCCTACTAGATTTTAATACTGTAAGATTACTCACATAAAACAACACAGGGTAGACATGGGGTGGAGGGCATGTCTTTGAGAATGGAATATCAGCAGATGCCTGAATGAAAATAAGCAACTGAGCCCCCATCAGAGGATTTGGAATGTCAGGGCCATGGCTGTGGTTTCCCACCTCTTCTGGTGGAGTGACAGCAGCCACACTGCAGCCCCTACCGTCATGGAAACGCTGAAGTGTGAGTAACACCTTTGTCCTCAGAGGATCTGCTGTTCCTACCACTTCCCCACCACGCACCCCAGCTTTGAGCACCCCAGTCTAACCCTGGTCCCCACAGAACTTGACTCTGCCAAGGGAATGAAAGGCCAGGGAGGCGAGGTCGGAACTGTGGGCCGAGCACCCCAGGGTCCCCTCTTCCTAGTTTATGAGAGGCTCCCTGACAGGACTTCCCTCCTGTTTCAGGAAAATCCTCTTATGTGGGGAGATGACACCCGAAGGTTTGGAGAAGGACTCACCCTCATGTGGCCAGGCCCCCTGCAGCAAGAAGAACCCTGGAAAGAAAGATCATGATGGACGATCCATCTGCAGGCAAACCAGGGCACCCTTGCTGCCCTCACTGGGCTGTGAGTCTTGGTAGGCAGGCCCTTCCTGGACTGAAGTTAAACTCACCCTCAGTGCCTACCTGCACCCAAGAACAGGGCTGTCGGCTGTGCAGAGACCCAGCCTCCAAGCCCAGATCCCCACCACAAGCCCATATCCCCACCACAAGCCCATATCTCCACTCCAGGCCAATATTTCCACCCTAGGCCTGTATCTCCACTCCAGGCCCATATCTCCACTCCAGGCCGATATTTCCATCATAGGCCCATATCGCCAATCCAGGCCCATATCGCCAATCCAGGCCAAGATCTCCACTGTAAGCCCATATCTCCAATCCAGGCCCATATCTCCACCCCAGGCTCAGATCTCCACCCTAGGCCCATATCTCCAATCCAGGCCCATATCTCCACACCAGGCCCATATCTCTACTGAAGGCCAGTAACTCCACCTCCAGGCCCATATCTCCACTCCAGGCCCAGATCTCCACCCCAAGCCCATATCTCCACCCCAGGCCCATATCTCTACTGAAGGCCCGTAACTCCACCTCCAGGCCCATATCTCCACCCCAGGCCCAGATCTCCACCCCAAGCCCATATCTCCACTCTAGGCCCATATCTCCTCTCCAGTCCCATATCTCCACAACCAGGCCCATATCTCCATCCTAGGCCCATATTTCCACTCTAGGCCCAGATATCCACCTCTAGGCCCATATCTCCACTCCTGGCCCAAATCTCCACTCCAGGCCCATATCTCTACTATAGGCCTATAACTCCACCTCCAGGCCCATGTCTCCACTCCAGGCTCCTATCTCCCCTCCAGGTTCCTATCGGCACTCCAGGCCCAGATCTCCACTTCTAGGCCCATCACTCCATCTCTAGGCCCATATATCCACTCCAGGCCCAGATCTCCACTCCAGGCCCACAACTCCACCTCCAGGCCTATATCTCCACCTCTGGGCCCAGATCTCCAACCCCACACTCCCTTCCTCTATTCCCTTCCAGGACTCACCAACACACGCCACGCTGACGACCGTGAGCGACATGGTGCTGCCGGTGCAGACAGGCGGCCGCGCCCCAGCTCAGCTCAGCAGCGCACAGGATGTTATTTGGCGCCCTGCCCATGCAGTTTACATGTTGACCACATCATGGGAGGGTGACGTACGCAGGCTCATTCTACCTTGCATGAGGCCCAGTGGGTGCTCGCTCAAGAGCGGAACACGGCTTCCTGGAAATTGTTCTCACTAGAATTTACACCTAGCGTCCTTCACTATGACCAACTCAAAACACGTCTCAGATCCAACCTCCTGAACACGAGATGCCTAAAATCTGTGCTAACGTGAAAGACTTTTCATGTATTTTTATTGTTTTTATCTGAGATTCAAACTCTTCTTCATGTGTAATATGCAAAATATCTAATAGGTATTATTAAGGTTTTCAGAGTCATTGTGACTAATAAACCATTAGAATTTTTCATGCTTGTATTTCTAGTATTACAGCAGAACCAGTTAAAATGATTTAAATTCCCAGGGAAGGATTATGCAATTATTTACAATCTTTGAATTGTACGTTATCAGCAAAAACCACACATTTAAACTCTGGATTTTTGTAGATTTATCTAAAATTTGTCTCATGACCCAAGTTTCCAGAGTCCCAACTCTGGAGTTTGTTCTCTCTCTGTCTCTCTGCCTCCCTCATTTTAAATTTTACAGAAATATCCAGTAACATAATGCTATAGAAAATCAAGTTTCCCCCAGCACGTCGGGAAGCCGAGGTGGGCGGATCAACTGATATAAGGAGTTTGAGAGCAGCCTGGCAACACAGTGAAACCGTGTCTCTGCTAAAAATCCAAAAATTAGCCGTGCCCAGTGGCAGGAACTTGTAACGCCAGCTACCCAAGAGGCTGAGGCACGAGAATCGCTTGAACCTGGGAGGCGGAGGTTGCAGTGAGCTGAGATTGCACCACTGCAGTCCAGCCTGGGCGACAGAGCAAGACTCCGCCTCAAGAAAAAAAAAAGCAAATAGCCTATAATAACAAATTAGAGGGCTCTGGCTACTAAATTTAAAGGGTTCTATAAGGCTACATAAAGTGTAGCATCATCAAGAGTGTGGACACAGACAGCCCCTTAGCAGAAACTGTCTAAAATACATCCATGTACACACAGTCCCTTTAGAGTTGACAAAGGCTGCCGTGTGGTTTAAGGTGGCATAGAATGTCTTCTCAATAAATAATATTAAACCAATGGGTTACACCTAGTAAAAAATAAATCTAACTCACACTATAAAAACACTTCTTAGTTTTTATCTAGTTGTACATTTTTTGATTTATATTTAAATTTGAGAAATAAAAGTCATATACGGTCATCCTTCACTATTCGTGGGTGATTGGTTTCGAGATCTCCACTCAGATACCAAAATCTGTAGATGCTCAAGCCTCTTATATGAAATGGCACAGCGCTTGCAAATAACATATGCACATCCTCCTGTATACATGAAATCATCTCTTGATTACTTATAATTCCTGATACAGCCTACACACAGCTTCATTTGTGTCCATTCAACATAGTTATGAGTTTTGGAACTCTGTGGATATTTTCTCTGAATATTTTTGATTTATACTTTGTTCAATAAAGACCTGTAAACCCCACAGATACGGAGGAGTGACCGTATATTTATAGTATGAAAGATGATGTGTTGATATGTGTCCCCATGGAGATGAGACTAACAAGGCCTATGACTCTACAAATGTTTCATTGTGGAATGACTCTGCCAGCTTTCCAGGTCTGCAGAGAGTAACAATGTCACTTGTTCATGTGATTCCCGATCCTTGGAACCTCCTATGTGCTGCATCTTTGGATGGAAATTGGAGTCCCAGAGACAAATGAGGCTCCACACTGCTTCCAGAAGCTCAGAGTCCAGAGGTGAGAACCCCGTGGAGAACAGATGGGATTATATGGACATGGTACTGATAACACCGGAAGCCTTAGGCAAGAAAAGAGTCCCATTACCTAAACCATGAGGGCAGACATGTTTATTTGAAGGAGGGAAAACTACATTGAAATTATTTTAAAAAATATATAAGTTTTACTGCTGACAGAAGGCTGAAAGCTAGTCTGAGGGGAGGTGGAACAGCATGAGGGAAGGTGGAACAGCACGTGTCTAAGTGCCGTGTTAAGAGGGAGCCTCTTGTATGTTTGGAATTGTGAGTTCCTCAGTGTGATTGCAGCCTCAAATAGACTAGGAAGTAAGCCAGTTAGGTTGGAGAGGTGGGCAGGGGTCAAGTGAAATGGAGAATTGTGGGCTAAGCAAAGGAGTGTGTTTTCTCTCCAGCAGGCAGTGGGGACCTTAGACATTTGTAAGCAAGAGAGAGGCACGTTCAGATTTGTGGTGTGAGGAAGAGCGATGCCCTAAGATGCAGACTCACGCCTTCAGATTCCAGCTGCTGGTACATTGGAGCTGGCAACCCAGTTTTGAGACAGGGCTGTTGTCTCCCTAGAAGATCCCCTCAAGGCCTGACTGTGGTGCTCATGGGCAGGAGACAACTTTGGATCAGGGCTCAGCATTTGGAAGTTCCGTGTACACGATGATATCTGTTGGGGGTGTCTTGGGCCTCTGAGAAGGGTGAGTGATTTTTCTCTGTGTGAAAACGCAGTGATTCAACTGTGCATATGTCACCTCCTGAGGGTCTTGTTCATCAGAGTCCTGGAGAGAGGGAAATCCTGAGTGAGGGAGGGTGCTCACATTTTCCAGGACTCTTTGGGAATAACACTAGCCACGAGGCTGGGCCGAGGAGCACCTACCTCCCTGTTCACTGTTCTGTTCCCTGCAGGCTCTTGGTCCATTACAACAGCATCTGTAGAAGACGGAAGTCAACAAAACAGCTCAGAGGGCACTTCTGGGCCCTCATTTCATAAGCAGATACCAACATACAGGGGGAGACCATAGGAGCCTGAGGTCCCTCAGTTGCCAACAGCAGACTCAGACATTCTATCTCTCTGAGCTCAAGGACCCATCCCATGAATAGCTCTGAGTTCCCATCCCATTGATTCTGTCTCCCACTTTCTGCCTGTCATGGAACCTTCTCCTGGATGTGAGTGGCTGCAGGGGACATGAGGATACAGTTCAGAATCAGGCAATGGTCTGTGAGCTGAAGGCAGGGACAGGGAGTCTGGTGCTCTCTCTAGAAAGTCCTCCCTCTGTGGCTGCTGCCTTGGGCCAGGGACCATCCTGTCTGTGAGGAACACACACCTGAGTGCTCCCATCCTGCTTCCCCACATGGCCCTGAGCTCTCTGGCCTCTGCTTCGTGAGACTTACTTTTTTTGTTGCAGCACCAGCGATGAAGGAGAAAGAAGAGGAGGAGGATGAAGAGGATGATGACCACTGAGGTCCCAATCAGAACATGCAGGTGTCTGGGGTTACCTGGAAGAAGAGGAGACACCAATAAGAAGCTAATCATAGCAGTTCCTCTTTATGAATTGTCTCACATTTCTTGATTGACAGGTAACCACATACAACACCCCTTTAGGACAAGCACCCAGATGGAGGGAGACCCAGCTTTCTCCTGCTTTCTCAGTTATAGCTCTCATAGTAACCATAGAACGTGTTGAGGATACAACTACTTTAGTTGAGATGTTTGACCCCTTCAAACCTCACATTGAAATTTCACCCCCACTGTGGGAGGTTGGGCCTCTTGAGAGGTGTTTGGGTCATGGAGGTGGATCCATCATGAACAGACCAATGCTGTCCCAAGGAGACGGGGTTAGCAAGTTCCCCTTCTATTAGTTCCTGGAGAGCTGGTTGTTCAAAAGAGCTTGGAAGCTCCATCGCTCCCCCTCCCCCTTGCTCCCTCTCTTGCCGTGTGATCTCTGTGGTCTCTGCACAGACAGACCCTCCTTCCCTTCTGCCAGAGTGGGAGCAGCCTGAGGCCGTCACGAGAAATAGATGCTGGTGCCACGCTTCCAGTATAGCCTGCAGAACTGTGAGGCAAACCAATCTCTTTTCTCTAGAAGTTACCCAGGCTCAAGTGTTCCTTTAGAGCAACAAAAATGGACTAAGACAGCAACGTCCTGAGATCAGGAGGAACGTCTCAGAACAGCCTGGGCTGTCTTCCTGTTCTTCCTGGAGGAGGACGTCATGCAGTGCTTTAGCTGAGTGCTTCCTGTGGCTCCACAGTACAAAACCCAGGCTGGGCTGCTCTCTGGCTTCCCCCAGCTACACTGCAAATGGGGTGACTCCATATGTCCCGAGGAGCTTTTCTGAGCCTTGAGGGACTGGCTCACATTGAAATGTAGGTTTCTGTTGTCACTCGCTGCTTATCTGTTAGTAATGAACCTGCCTGTGTAATGTATTCTCTGTGTGTTCTGTCTCCCTGGAGTGACGGTGAGTGATAGGAATTGGCATAAGCCCAGGTGCAGTCCAGGAGGTATTTAGAGTCTTCTCTGGGAAGACTGCACTGGGATTGATACACAGCGAATGTGCTTTAGGATTTCTACATCCACAGCATTCTTGAATCAAACAACTTGCATTCTCCAAGAAAAGGAAACAAAAGTGAAATCAAGATAAAAAAAGCTAAGTAGAATTCTCTTATGTCAAATGGCCAGGAAATAGTGTTGAAGCCCGTGTGAAACGTGCTACTCTTTGTGATCTCGGGAGACACATGTTAGGCTGCTGTTCTACCCGAGAGGCTGGGGGAAGGACCACCCCCTCGGCCATCTATTGCTTCAATACCACCTGTCCTCCTGTGAATTAGTAGGAAAGGGGAGCAGGAGCTAGTGCTGGCACTGATCTCTGATTCCAAGATCTGGACTCACTCCAAGGAGTATCAATGTTTACCTCCCCATAGCCTATCTGAATCTCCACAGGTGATTGGAAGTAGGGGTGAGGTGGGGGATTTGGGTGAGTGGGCAAGTTTTTTGTTGCGATGAACAGAGCACTTTCTCTATTCCACGATCTGTGCTGGAGGATTCTGAGGGCTTTCACATTTTCTATGTGATCTCATTCTCACAGAAAGCCAAATAGGGAAGAGGTTTTAAGCTCATTGCCTAATGGATAAGATAAAGGATCAAAGAAGTAATTATAGAGAAATAGAAAAACGATGATTGGAATTCAGGTGCCTTTGTCATTCGTGTGTGTTTTATTATATTTATGTATTTCTTATTTTTATTTTTTGAGATAGAGTCTCCTTGTGTCCCCCAGGCTGGAGTGCAGTGATGCAATCTCCACTCACTGCAACCTCCACCTACTGGGTTGAAGTCGTTCTCCTGCTTCATCCTCCAGAATAGGAGCTGGGATTACAGGGATGCACCATCGTGCTCGGCTAATTTTTGTATTTTTAGTAGAGATAGGGTTTCACCACGTTGGCCAGGCTGGTCTGGAACTCCTGACTTCATGGAATCCACCCACCTTGGCCTCCTGCAGTGCTAGGTTACAGGCGTGAGCCACTGTTCACAGACTTGTATATTATGCTATAATAAGTCTCTTCATTTCCACCACCACTCATATATCTGTCACTCCTTTGCCAGGTATTGATTTATGTGTAGGATGAATAAATCTCAGAAAGAAATTAATTAAGCGAGGATTAAACAAGTAGGAAAATCAAACCCAGTAAGCCTTTCCAGTCAACGATTCTACCTCACAAACATATCTTATATCCATCTACTTCATTCATTTAGTGTCTAAATCAGCACCACATTTCACCAGTGGGGCGGCAATTGCCTTTTCCACGGTCTCCTAGATTCCAGTTATGCAACTGAGCCTCCCTTATTTTCATGTCCGTCATATTAATCATGTAGGGATTCCTGGTTACCCCGAGGTGAATCCAATGGCTGTGAGTGTCAAACACACACTCCTTGTTGCTCCTTAGTTTCCTGTGTACCCAGTGTGCTCTCCGTCTCCCTACAGTCGTCTTGTCATTCTCCCCACCTCATTCCCAGCATTTGAGGCAGAGCCTCTTCCTTCCACATCAGATTGTTTTCACCTTTGTGCCTTCACGGCTGACAGCTGTGTGTGCAAAATCCTTCCGCCAATCTTTCAGGGGTTCAATCCGTGTTTTTCATTAATGTCACAAATATCTGAATAGAGAGACCTTCTTTGTCACCTGAAATCATACACTCAGCATTATCTATTATTGATTTTGAATTCTGGCTGGGCACAGTGGCTCACGCCTGTAGTCCCATTACTTTGGCATGCTGAGACGGTCGGATCACTTGAGGTTGGGAGTTTCAGACAAGCTTGGCCAACGTGGTGAAACATCCTTTCTACAAAAAATATACAAAAAGAATTAGCCGGGCACGGTGGCAGTTGCCTGTAATCCCAGCTACTCGAGAGGCGGAGGCAGGAGAATCACTTGAATCCAGGAGACGCAGGTTGCAGTGAGCCAAGATCGTGACACTGCACTGTAGCCTGGAAGACAGAGGGCGACTCTGTCTCAATAAACAAAAGAACAAACAAAAAATAGATTTCATGCACAGATGCTTCCCAATGGATCATTCATTTATAGATCCACTTGTGCATTCATTTTCTGCCCTCCCATTTAACCATCTGCAATATCAGTGTCCCAAGGGCAGAGGCCAAATGCATCTTGTTCACCGTTTGTGGAAGGCAGGAGAATGCTGTCCCACCCCAAAATGTCCCTGTCCTAGCCTCCATAGCTTGTGAATATGTTATTTTACATGGAAAGGAGGAATGAAGATTGTAGATGGAATTGCGGTTGCTAATCAGCTGAACTTAAAACAAGGGTATCCTGGATGATTTCCAGGAGATTATGAGGGATTTTCATCTTGGTGAACCCAATAGAATCCCCAAGTTTTCAAAAGATAAGGAAGAAGGGAGAGCAGCATTCAGAGAAAGAGGTGTGGTAAGGAAGAAGGCACTGAGTGATGCCATGTGAGATGTGACCAGTCTTTGTGGGCTTTGAGGAAGGAGGAAGGGGAACAGGAGCCAAGGAACTGGGAGCCTTTAGAAGCTGGGATAAGTGAGAAGCAGATTCTTGCCTGGAATCCTCAGAGGGAAGGCAGCCTTGCTGTCACCTTGATTTTAGCCCAGTAAGATGCACTTCCTACTTTGAGCTACAGCACTGTAAGATAATTAAAAAACCGTTTTGTTTTCACCCACGAATCTTGTGGAAATTTGTTATGGCAACAATAGGAAAAGGTTCCGCACTGCACAGCCTGAGCATGGGGCCGTGGCTGAATGAGTCAGTGAGTCGAAGTGTGCGTGCATGAGCTCCGTTCTCTGTTACGGCAAGGCTGTTGCTCTGCTGAGTCAGCCAGGGTTGCTTCATGACCAACAGTAATTCATTCCTTGGCAAGTGGAACTTCTCTAAAACACCTCGCCCTCATCAGATGTTCCCTTCCCTTCCCTCTCTCAAGCCCCCAGGAATTTATCCTCCAGTTAGGAATGCAGGCAGAACAAACATTGCATTTTTCCTGAGAAGGATGTCAGATTGGCAATCATTCTTCTAGCTTGTAGGAGATCTCAGCTCCATAAAATGAGAGATTAAGAGATTTCACTGAGCCCTAGGTTGGGCCCAGATCCCTTTCGCTGTTGGAGTATCTGGAGTTCGGAGATGGTAGAAGACAGGCGTACAATGTCAGAGCTGCGAGATGCTGAGTCAATGCCTGCATCGAAGGTTTCTACCTCCCCAGGTTTCCAAAAGCGGATATAAGAGGGTTCTGTACTCACCGGTTTCGGAGCTTGGTTCAGTGGGTGAAAGCCAACTATTTGAAGGGTTTCCTAGAACATGAGACAGGAGAGAGGTGAGGAAATGAGGGTGTCTGTCCTCTACTCAATGGAAATCTTTGAGGTTGGTTCATGGCCAACACTCTGTTATCTAATATTGGGCCCTGGGAGTCCTGGGATCCTTTTTTCCGTAATTTTTGTATGTGACGCCCACTGTCTTGAGACTTCAAGGTATAAAGAGAAAACAGGAGCATCACACTACCTGATCTCAAAATATGTTACAGAGCTGTAGTAAGCAAAACAGCATCACATTGGCATAAAGAAAGGCACGTAGAACAATGGAGCAGAATGAAGAACACAGATATAATCCATGCATTTACCTCCAATGTTTTTTTCTTTTTTCTTTTGAGATGGAGTCTCGCTCTGTCGCCCAGGCTGGAGTGCAGAGGTGCAATCTCGGTTCACTGCCACCACAGCCTCCTGGGTTCAATCAATTCTCTGGCCTCAAACTCCTGAGTAGTGGTATTACAGGTGCTGACCACCATGCTCAGCTAATTTTTATATTTTTAGTGGAGACAATGTTTCATCACGTCGGCCAGACTAATCTTGAACTCCTGGCCTCAGGTGATCCACCCGCCTTGGGCTCCCAAAGTGCTGAAATTGCAGGTGTCAGCCACCATGCCCAGCCCATCCAATGGACTTTGACAAAGGTGCCAAGAACTCACAATCAGGAAAGGACAGTCTTTTCAATAAACAGTGCAGGGAAACCTGGACATCTACATGCAGAGGAATGAAACTGCACCTCTACCTGTCACTATACACAAAACTCAAATGAAAATGGATTAAAGATGTGAGTCTAAGGCCTGAACCTATGAAACACGTAGAAGAAAATATTGGGGAAATGCTCCAGGACATTTGTCTGAAGGAAGACATTTTGTTTTAAACCTTCAAAACACAAGTAATCGAAGCAAAAATAGACCATTGGGATTACCTCAAACTAAGCAACTTCTGCACCGCTAAAAATAAACCAACAAAGTGAAGAGACAACCCACAGATTGGGAGCAAATATGTGCAAACTATGCATCTGAGATGGGATTAATAACTAGAAATATAAGAAGCTCAAACAACTCAATAAAACAAATGATTTAATTGAAAAAGGAGCAAAACACATGAAATTTCCCCACATACTAAAAAGTGCTCAGTTTCACTCATCATCAGAGAAACACAAATTAAAATCAAAGTGAGTTTTCATCTCACCCCATTAAAATGGATTTTAGGCCGGGCGTGGTGGCTCACGTCTGTCATCCTAGACCTTTGAGAGCCTGAGGTGGGTGAATCTCATAAGGTCGGGAGTTTGAGACCAGTCTGACCCACATGGAGAAACACTGTCTCTACTAAAAATACAAAATTTAGTTGGGCGTGGTGGCGTGTGCCTGTAATTCCAGCTACTCGGGAGGCTGAGGCAGGAGAATCGCTTGAACCTGGGAGGTGGAGGTTGTGGTGAGCCGAGATCGCACCACTGCACTCCAGCCTGGGTGACAAGAGCGAAACTCCATCTCAAAATAAAATGAAATAAAATAAAATGGCTTTTAGCTGCAAGACAGGCAAAGGAAATCCTGCCAAAGTGGTAGAGAAAGGAGAACCCTAATACCCTGTTGGTAGGAGTGTAAATTAGTACAGCCTTTACGGAGAAAAGTGTGGAAGTCCTTTAAAGAACTAAAAAGAGGTTGGGTGAGGTGGATCATGCCTGTAATCCCGGCACTTTGGGAGACCGAGGCGGGCACCTCAGTTGAGGTCATGAGTTTGAGAGCAGCCCAGCCAACATGGGGAAACCGCATCTATACTAAAAAAAACAAAAAGTAGCCAGGCATGGTGGCGTGCACCTGTAATCCCAGCTACTAGGGAGGCTGAGGCAGGAAAATCATTTGAACCCAGGAGGCGGAGGTTGCAATGAGCCAAGATGACTTCACTTGTACTCCAGCCTGGGCACAGAGGGAAACTGTCTCAAAAACAAAAACAAAACAACAAACGAATAACTAAAAAGAGAACTTTCATAGTATCCAGCAATTTCACTACTGGGTTTATATCCAAAGGAAAGTAAATCAATATATCGAAGTGATATCTGCACTCGTATGATTGGTGCAGCACTGTTCACAGTAGCCAAGATGTGGAGTCAACCTACCTGCCCATCAGTGGATGAATGGATAGAGAGAATGTAGTACATACGCACAGTGGAGACTACTCATCCATAGAAAGAATAACATCCTGATATTTGCAGCCACATGGATGGAACTGGAAGTCATTACAAAGATTCCCATTTCTCACCCATATACAGAGCTAAAAGGTGGATCTCATGAAGGTAGAGAGTAGAATGGTGGCTTCCAGAGGCCAGGAATAAAAGGGTGGAGGGTAAAAAAAAAAAAAAAAAAAAAAATATATATATATATATATATATATATATATATATATATATATATATATGTATATATGTGTGTGTGTGTGTATATATATATATATATATATATATAAATGTATTTATGACCACTAGACTTTACACTTAAAAATGGTAAATGTGGCTGGGCGTGGTGGCTCATGCCTGTAATCCCAGCACTTTGGGAGGCAGATGCGGGTGGATCACGTGGTCAGGAGTTGGAGACCAGCTCGACCAACATGGTGAAACCCCCTCTCTACTAAAAATACAAAAAGTAGCCTGGCGTGGTGGTGCGCGCCTGTAGCACCAGCTACTCAGGTGGCTGAGGCAGGAGAATCACTTGAACCCAGGAGGCGGAAGTTGCAGTGAGCTGAGATTGTGCCACTGCACTCCAGCATAGGGGACAGAGCTAGACTCTGCCTCAAAAAAAAAAAAAATGTTAAAGGTGGTAAGCTATATAGGTATATTTATCCTCAATAAATATTTCTTCAAACAAAAGTAAAGGGTGTAGGGGTTGCTGGTGATGACATCCCTGTGTGGGTGAGAGGCCAGGATGGGCTTCTGGGAAATGGGTAATGTTGAGGGGCTGAGGGAACCTCTGATCTTCCCAAACTGAGCCCAGTCTCTCTCCTCTGCGTCTCTCCTGACCGTTTTCTCCATCTGCCTGTGTGCCTGGAGCCCTGGCCGCGGGCCTTCATGCAGGCCGTGTAGGAGGGTTTGGAGGTGCCCTGTCTGCCATCCTGTGCCCTGATCCCTCCCTCACACCCAAGCTTCGTCTTCTCTCTGCATCTGTCCATGCTTCTCTCCATCATCAGCAGGAAGCTCCTCAGCTAAGGCTCTAGGATCATAGGACATGAGACAGATATGGGGTTTCCTCACCTGTGACAGAAACAAGCAGTGGGTCACTCGAGTTTGACCACTCGTATGGAGAGTCACGGAAAGAGCCGAAGCATCTGTAGGTTCCTCCGTGGGTGGCAGGGCCCAGAGGAAAGTCGGCCTGGAATGTTCCGTTGACCTTGGGCCCTGCAGAGAACCTACGTTCATGGGCCTCCCCCTCCCTGGATAGATGGTACATGTCATAGGAGCTCCGGGAGCTGCAGGACAAGGTCACGCTCTCTCCTGCCAGAACCGTGGGGCCCGGCTGGGCTGAGAGAGAAGGTTTCTCATATAGACCTGGAGGAGAAGAGGCATTTTCCTTACGGAGGATCTTCCTTGTCACAGCTCCCTTCACCTGAGCTGAGAACTCACTCCCCTGCTCTATGACCTAATGCTCTCTCTCTCTCTCTCTCACCCTCCACCCCATCTCTCTTCATGTCTATTTCCTTCTTCCACCTTCTCTGTCTCTCTAGGTCTCTGACCTCGCTTCCCCACCTCTAGATATGTTTTCCCTTTTTGGATTCTTTTATTCTCTCTGACTCTCCTTGGATTGGTTGACTTGATGTTACTTTTTTAAATTCTAAGTTTCTCACGTTGTGTCCTGTTCATAACTTTCTGCATATTTCTATCTATTATCTGTCGATCTATCTATTTATCTATTCGGTGTCTATCTACAAATTCTCTACCTGTCATCTATATCTATATATCATCTATGTATCTATCACTTGTCTATCTATCCATCAATCATCTGTTATTTATATGTATGTATCATCTCTCTCTCTATGATTTCTGTCTGCCTCTCTATCTGTACGTATTATCTGTCTTCATCATCATCATCTCTATGTATTATCTATTAATGAATCAATCAATCATCATCTATGTATCTTTAACCTATTATCTATCATCTACCTATTTATCATCTATCTATATCTATCCATCTATCATCTGTCTTGCTCTGCCTCTCGGTCTCTCTAGCTCTCTTTGGAATCTCTGCAATTCATCCCCACATCTCCATGTTTCTATGTCCTTGTGCCTCTCTCTCAGGACTCTAATTTTAGTGCTTTTCTCTGCTCCCTGCCATCATTCTCACCACTCCTCTGCCCTCTTTTCTCTCTCTTTATGTGTCTGTGAGTCTCTCAATCTCCTTCCTCTGGCTCATTCTCTGTGTGTTTATGTCTTTGCTTTTTGGTGTTCCTGATTTTTCTCTGTGCCTCTCAGTGATCCTTTCATATGTGGGGTTATTTGGAATGTGAGCCACAGAATCCAGTCTGGAGACCACAAGTTCACACAGCATACAGGGGTTGGTGTTCTGGGGCCATGATATCCTGGGACGATTACTCTCCATTACATGGAAGGCAGAGGTGTCAGAATAAACATGGCCTGTAGGTGCCACAAGGCCTGAGGCCACAGGGCCCAACTCAGGTCATAAATATGGGTGTCCTTGGGTTCTCCTGGTAGAGAACACTTTGTGGAGGTAAAACAGAAATGAAACTTCTAACCTGTGCCAGGTCTGTGAGCAAAGTCAGCATGGAGGGACACCTCTCTCTGGGACATGTCTGTCTGTCTGTCTCTTTTAACTCTTTCTGTCTTTTCTAACTCCCTGTATGGCCCCTGTGTCTGTCCTCTGTTATGACACCTGGTCTGTACTTGTGTCTCCTGTTTCTCTGTCTCTGTTGGTACAAACCTCAGCAAGTCAGTCTCTCTCCATAAGAATACCAAGCTCATCTTCCTTACAACTACCTGGGGGTTCCAAGTCGTGGATCATTCACTCTGCATCCCAATGACAATGAGAATGTCCGGACACTCTCACCTGTGATGACGATGTCCAGAGGGTCACTGGGAGCTGACAACTGATAGGGGGAGTGAGTAACAGAACCGTAGCATCTGTAGGTCCCTGCAAGGTCTTGCATCATGGGACCGATGGAGAAGTTGGCCTTGGAGACCCCATCATGGTGCTCTCCAATGAGGTGCAAAGTGTCCTTAAACTTCCCTTCTCTGTGCAGAAGGAAGTGCTGAAACCTGACATCTGACCAACATTGCAGGATGACTGTCTCTTCTGATTTCACCAGGGGACCTGGGTGGGCCAGGAGGGAAGGTTTTCTGTGGACTCCTAGGAAGAGAGGTTGTGAGTTTAGAAGGTGTCTCTCTTTATCATCCCATCCATGGCACCTAGAATGAGTGAGGCTTCCCCTTGCTGGTGTCTGTCTCTCTCCTTCCTCTCTGTGTCTTCATGTTCTTTTCTGTGCCCTTAACTCCTGGTGCAGGTCCTTCCATCTGTCTCCCTCCCTCTTCTCTGTCCCTCTGTCTCTAGTAGCCTCTGATTCCCTTCCCACTGGGCTTAGCCTCATCTCTTGGGGTGTTGTATCTATTTCACACTAATGTATTTCCTGCTGTTTATGTGGGGGTGAAAGAGGAACCAGGATAGGCTGCACATCCAGGCTCTTATCAGCCTGGTTCAATCTCTTTTGGATGAATTGCAATCCTTGGCAGAAGGTATGAACTGATGAATAAGGCAGGCACCAGTGTCCACACACCCTGTTCCTGGTGGGGACTGGGAGCCACTCTTGCCATGCCTGTGCCTTCTCCATGGTGCCAGCTTCCATAGGCTGGCTCCTGGTGCTGGTTGGAGGAGTATCAACCCCTCCCTATGTGGATGGAGCCTGGTGGTGGCATCATCATCCCACCCTTGCTGATCTCAGGGTAGCCAACCTTCTCCTTGTTTGGTTTCTTTAATTAATTAATTAATTTTGGAGACAGAGTCTCACTCCTTCACCCAGGCTGGAGTGAAGTGGTGTGGTCTAGGCTCACTGCAACCTCTGTCTCCTGGGTTCAAGTGATTCTCCTGCCCTCAGCCTCCTGAGTCGCTAGGATTACATGCACCTGCCACCATGCCTGGCTTTCCTTGGGTTGTTTCTTAACTTGTCCTTGACCTGGGTTCCAGTGTTGGTTTCCTGTTGCTGCTGTAGAAAATTATCAGAAGCATGGCAGCAGGAGAGACCACACTGACACCTTCCAGTACTGGAGACAGAAATTGGACCCTATTTTTCCTGGGCTAAAATCAAGGCATCTGCAGGGCTTTGTTCCCTCTGGAGACTCTGGAGAATCAGTTCCTTGACTTTTCCAGCCTCTATAGGCCACCTGCATTCATGGCTCTTGGCCTTCCTCCACCTTCAAAGCTGGTGAAGACTTCCACTGGACTGCTCTAATCCCCACTCCCCTCTTCCTCCTCCTTTCATGTGCACCCTTGTGATTACACTGAGCCCAGTGGGACAGTCCAGGCTGTCTCCCCATGAGCTCCATCTTCCCCTTCAGTCCCTTCCCCTATAACATAAATAGTCACAGACTCCAGGGATTAGAATGTAGTCATCACTGGGGACAATTATTCTTCCCACCACAGCACCCATTTCCCTGTATTCAATCCCCCTTTACCACAAATACAGTCAGGGCCTGCGTGATGGGACCCTCAAGGACATGCCCACCAGAAGCTCTGGGATTCAGGAGGTGGGACAAGGAGAATCCAAGACAGGAGCCCTCTGACCTATGACCACGATCACCAGGGGGTTGCTGGGTGCTGACCACCCACTGGGGGAGTGTGTGTGTGAACCCCGACATCTGTATGTCCCTGTGTGTGCGGGGGTCACAGGGCCCATGAAAAGGCTGTTCCAGAATATTCTGTTGTAGAGCTCAGGGACAGGCACCCCACCTTCCTTGTACAGACTGAAGTTGTTAAACCCAAGATAAGAGTGACACCGAAGAATGACATGTCCTAGAGGCACCACAAGGCTGGGCCAGGCAGACAGCAAGGGCTTGTCCTGACCACCTTGGGGAGAAGGAGGCGCCGCCTTAGAGAGGAGGATGTGGAACTGCCCTTCCCTCCCTGTGCTCAGAAGATTCTCCTCGCTTTCCACGTTTCTATGGCTACTATCACACCTTGGTGCCCAGGGCTGAAGGAAGGACCCATCCCGCAAAGACATGGTGTCTCCCTACAACAAAAGCCTCAGCTGAGAACTTTGAGCAAGTGCTGAGTAAAGAGACTCCTACTAGATTTTAATACTGTAAGATTACTCACATAAAACAACACAGGGTAGACATGAGGTGGAGGGCATGTCCTTTGTGAATGGATATCAGCGGATGCCTGAACGAAAATAAACAACTGAGCCCCCATCAGAGGATTTGGAATGTCAGGGCCATGGCTGTGGTTTCCCACCTCTTCTGGTAGAATGACAGCAGCCACACTGCAGCCCCTACCATCATGGAAACGCTGAAGTGTGTGAGTAACACCTTTGTCCTCAGAGGATCTGCTGTTCCTACCACTTCCCAACCACACACCCCAGCTTTGAGCACCCCAGTCTAACCCTGGTCCCCACAGAACTTGACTCTGCCAAGGGGTTGAGAGGCCAGGGAGGCGAGGTCAGAAATGTGGGCTGAGCACCCCAGGGTCCTCTCTTCCTAGTTTATGAGAGACTCCCCGACAGGACTTCCCTCCTGTTTCAGGAAAATCCTCTTATGTGGGGAGATGACACCCGAAGGTTTGGAGAAGGACTCACCCTCATGTGGCCAGGCCCCCTGCAGCAAGAAGAACCCTGGAAAGAAAGATCATGATGGACCATCCATCTGCAGGCAAACCAGGCCTCCCTTGCTGCCCCCACTGGGCTGTGAGTCTTGGCAGCCAGGCCCTTCCTGGGCTGAAGTTAAACTCACCCTCAGTGCCTACCTGCACCCAAGAACAGGGCTGTCGGCTGTGCAGAGACCCAGTTTCCAGGCCCATATCCCCACCCCAAGCCCATATCTCCACTCCAGGCTGATATTTCCACCCTAGGCCCATATCGCCAATCCAGGCTCAGATCTCCACCCTAGGCCCCTATCTCCAATCCAGTCCCATATCTCCGCCCCAGGCCCAGATCTCCACCCTAAGCCCATATCTCCACTCCAGGCCCATATCACCTCTCCAGTCCCATATCTCCACACCCAGGCCCATATCTCCTTCCTAGGCCCATATCTCCACTCCAGGCCCAGATATCCACCTCTAGGCCCATAACTCCACTCCTGGCCCATATCTCCACTCCAGGCCCATATCTCTACTGCAGGCCCGTATCTCCACCTCCAGACCCATATCTCCACTCCAGGCCCATATCTCCACCTCCAGGCCCATATCTCCACCTCCAGGCCCATATCTCCACTCCAGGCCCATATCTCCACTCCAGGCCCATATCTCCACTCCAGGCCCCTATCTCTACTGCAGGCCCATATCTCCATCTCCAGGCCCATATCTCCATCTCCAGGCCCATGTCTCCACTACAAGCCCATATCTCTACTGCAGGCCCATATCTCAACCTCCAGGCCCATATCTCCACTCCAGGCCCAGATCTCCACTCCAGGCCCAGATCTCCACTTCTAGGCCCATCACTCCATCTCTAGGCCCATAACTCCACTTCCAGGCCTATATCTCCAACTCTGGGCCCCGATCTCCATCCCCGCACTCCCTCCCTCGATGCCCTTCCAGGACTCACCAACACACACCATGCTGACGACCATGAGCGACATGGTGCTGTCTGTGCAGACAGGCGGCCGCGCCCCAGCTCAGCTCAGCAGCGCACAGGATGTTATTTGGCGCCCTGCCCATGCAGTTTACATGTTGACCACATCATGGGAGGGTGACGTACGCAGGCTCTTTCTACCTTGCATGAGGCCCAGTGGGTGCTCGCTCAAGAGCGGAACATGGCTTCCTGGAAATTGTTCTCACTAGAATTGACACCTTGCGTCCTTCACTACGACCAGACTCAAAAGACGTCTCAGATCCAACCTCTCATACACGAGATGATTGAATTCTGTGCTTACATTAAAGATTTTTGATGTATTTTTGTTTTTATCTGAGATTCAAACTCTTCTTCATATGTAATGTGCAAAATGTCTAACAGGTATTATTAACATTATCAGAGTAATTGTGACAAGAAGCCATTCTAATTTTCCTGCTTGAGTTTCTACTACTAAACCAGAGGCATCAGAATAGCTTGAACCTGGGAGACGGAGGTTGCAGTGAGCTGAGCTCAAGCCACTGAACTCCAGCTTGGGTGACAGAGGAAGAGTCTGTCTCAAGAAAAAAAAAAAAAGCAAACTAAATAACCTATAATAACAAATCAGAGGACTCAGGTTACCAAATTTTAAGGGGTTCTATAAGTTTATATAAAATGCAGCATCCTCATGAGAGGGGATACAGAGAACCACTGGACAGAAAACTGTGTCTAAAATACATCTGTGGATACACAGTCCCTTTATAGTTGACAAAGGCTGCCATGTAGTTTAAGGTGGAATAGAATATTTTCTCAACAAATAACACAGGACCATAGGGTTACACGTAGGAAAAAATAAATCTAAACTTATCCTCACACTATAAAAACACTTCTTATTTTTTATCTTGTTGTTGTAAATTTTTTATGCTTTATTTTTAAGATTGACAAATAAAAATTATATACCATGGTCCTTCACTATACCTGGGTGATTGGTTCCAGGATCCCCATTCAGATACCAAAATCTGCAGATGCTCAAGCCCCTTGCATGAAATGGCATAGTGAAGCTGGGCACCGTGGCTCACGCCTGTAATCCCAGCACTTTGGGAGGCTGAGCTGGGTAGATCACAAGGTCAGGAGTTCAAGACCAGCTGGTCCAACATTCTGAAACCCCATCTCTACTAAAAATATACACACAAAAAAATTTATCTGTGCAGGGTGGCACGTGCCTGTAATCCTAGGGGAGGCTACTGGGGAGGCTGAGGGAAGAGAATCGCTTGAACCTGGAAGGCGGAGGTTGCAGTGAGTTGAGATCACGCCACTGCACTCCAGCCTGGGTGAGAGAGTGAGACTGTCTCAAAAAAAAAAAAAAAATAGCATAGCAATTGCATAGAACCCATGCACATCCTCCTGTATACATGAAATCATCTCTTGATTACTTATAATTCCTGACACAGCCTACACGCCACTCAATTTGTGTCGATTCAACATAGTTTTTTGCTTTTTGAAACTTCGGGGATTTTTTTTCTCAAAATATTTTTGATTTATTGCTGATTCAATAAACATGTGTAAACCCCAGAGATATGGAGGAGTGACTGTCTATTTATAGTAGTATGAAAGATGATGTGTTGATACGTGTCCCTGTGGAGATGAGACTAACAAGGCCTATGACTCTACAAATGTTTCATCGTGGAATGACTCTGCCAGCTTTCCAGATCTGCAGAGAGTAAGAATATCACTTGTTCATCTGATTCACCATCCTTGGAACCTCCTATGTGCTGCATCTTTGGATGGAAATTGGAGTCTCAGAGACAATTCAGGCTCCACCATGCTTCCAGAAGCTCAGAGTCCAGGGCTGAGAACCCAGCGGAGAACAGATGGGGTTATGTGGACGTGGTAATGATAACACCGGAAGCCTTAGGCAAGAAAAGAGTCCCATTGAAGAAACCATGAGGGCAGACATGTTTACTTGAAGAATAGAAAACTACATTGAAATTATAAAAAAAATTTATAAGTTTTACTGCTGACAGAAGGCTGAAAGATACTCTGAGGAAAGGTGGAATAGCACGTATCTAAGTGCCGTGTTAAGAGGGAGCCTCTTATATGTTTGGAATTGTGAGTTCCTCAGTGTGATCGCAGCCTCAAGTAGACTAGGAAGTAAGCCAGTTAGGTTGGAGAGGTGGGCAGGGGTCAAGTGAAATGGAGAATTGTGGGCTAAGCAAGTGTGTTTTCTCTCCAGCAGGCAGTGGGGACCTTAGACATTTGTAAGCAAGAGAGAGGCATGTTCAGATTCGTGGTGTGAGGAAGAGCGATGCCCTAAGATGCAGACTCACGCCTTCAGAGTCCAGCTGCTGGTACATGGGAGCTGGCAACCCGGTTTTGAGACAGGGCTATTGTCTCCCTAGAAGATCCCATCAAGGCCTGACTGTGGTGCTAGTGGACAGAAGACAACTTTGGATCTGCGCTCAGCATTTGGAAGTTCCGTGTTACACGCTGGTATCTGTTGGGGGTGTCTTGGGCCTCTGAGAAGGGCGAGTGATTTTTCTCTGTGTGAAAACGCAGTGATTCAACTGTGCGTATGTCACCTCCTGAGGGTCTTGTTCATCAGAGTCCTGGAGGGAGGGAAATGCTGAGTGAGGGAGGGTGCTCACATTTTCCAGGACTCTTTGGGAATAAGACTAGCCACGAGGCTGGGCGGAGGAGCACCTACCTCCCTGTTCACTGTTCTGTTCCCTGCAGGCTCTTGGTCCATTACAACAGCATCTGTAGAAGACGGAAGTCGTCAAAACAGCTCGGAGGGCACTTCTGGGTCCTCATTTCATAAGCAGATACCAACATACAGGGGGAGGCCATAGGTGCCTGAGGTCCCTCAGTTGCCAACAGCAGACTCAGACATTCTATCTCTCTGAGCTCAAGGATCCATCCCATGTATAGCTCTGAGTTCCCATCCTATTGATTCTGTGTCCCACTTTCTGCCTGTCATGGAACCTTCTCCTGGATGTGAGTGGCTGCAGGGGATGTGAGGATACGGTTCAGAATCAGGCAATGGTCTGTGAGCTGAAGGCAGAGGCAGGGAGTCTGGTGCTCTCTCTAGAAAGTCCTGCCTCTGTGGCTCCTGCCTTGGGCCAGGGACCATCCAGTCTGTGAGGAACACACACCTGAGTGCTCCCATCCTGCTTCCCCACATGGCCCTGAGCTCTCTGGCTTCTGCTTCGTGAGACTTACTCTTTTTGTTGGCACACCAGCGATGAAGGAGAAAGAAGAGGAGGATAGCAAAGGGGATGATGACCACTGAGGTCCCAATCAGAACGTGCAGGTTTCTGGAGTTACCTGGAGGAAGACAAGACACCAATAAGAAGCTAATCATAGCAGTTCCTCTATATGAATTGTCTCACATTTCTTGATTGACAGGTAACCACATACAACGTCTCTTTAGGACAAGCACCCAGATGGCGGGAGACCTAGCTTCCTCCTGCTTTCTCAGTTGTAGTAACCATAGAACGTGCTGAGGATACAACTGCTTTAGTTTAGATGTTTGACCCCTTCAAACCTCACATTGAAATGTAACCCCCAGAGTGGGAGGTTGGGCCTCTTGGGAGTTGTTTGGGTCATGGAGGTGGATCCATCATGAACAGATCAATGCTGTTCCAAGGAGACGGGGTTAGCAAGTTCCCCCTCTATTAGTTCCTGGAGAACTGGTTGTTAAAAGAGCTTGGAAGCTCCATCGCTCCCCCTCCCCCTTGGTCCCTCTCTTGCCGTGTGATCTCTGTGGTCTCTGCACAGACAGACCCTCCTTCCCTTCTGCCAGAGTGGGAGCAGCCTGAGGCCGTCACAAGAAATAGATGCTGGTGCCATGCTTCCAGTACAGCCTGCAGAACTGTGAGGCAAACACATTTCTTGTCTTTAGAAGTTACCCAGGCTCAAGTGTTCCTTTAGAGCAACAAAAATGGACTAAGACAGCAACGTCCTGAGATCAGGAGGAACATCCCAGAACAGCCTGGGCTGTCTTCCTGTTCTTCCTGGAGGAGGACGTCATGCAGTGCTTTAGCTGAGTGCTTCCTGTGGCTCCAGGGTACAAAACCCAGGCTGGGCTGCTTTTTGATTTCCCCCAGATACACTGCATATGGGGTGACTCCACATGTCTCGAGCAGCTTTTCTGAGCCTTGAGGGACTGGCTCACATTGAAATGTAGGTTTCTGTTGTCACTCGCTGCTTATCTGTTAGTAATGAACCTGCCTGTGTAATGTGTTCTCTGTGTGTTCTGTCTCCCTGGAGTGACGGTGAGTGATAGGAATTGGTATAGGCCCAGGTGCATTCCAGGAGGTGTTTAGAATCTTCTCTGGGAAGACTGGATTGGGATTGATACACAGCGAATGTGCTTTACAGTTTCTACCACCACAACCCTCTTGACTCAAAAAAATTACATTCTCCAAGAAAAGAAAGAAAAAATGAAATCAAGATAAAAAAAGTGAAGTAGAACTGACTTAAATCAAACAGCCATGAAATAATGATGTAGCCCAGGAACAACATGCTACTTTTTGTGATCTGCTGAGACATATATTAGGCTGCTATTCCACCCGAGAAGCACGGGGAAGGACCGCCCTCTCCGTCGTTTATTGTTTCAATACAGCCTGTCCTTCTGTGAGTTAGTACGAAATGTGACCAGGGGCTAGTGCTGGCACTGGTCTCTGAGTCCAAGATCTGAGCTCACTCCAAAGAGTATTAGTGTTTACCTCCCCATGATCTATCTGTATCTCCATAGGTGATTGGAAGTAGAGATGAATTGGGGGATTTGGGTGAAGGGGCAAGTTTTATGCCATGAACAGAGCACGTTCTCTATTCCAGGACCTGTGCTGGTGGGTTCAGGAGGCTTTCACATTTTCCATATGATCCCAAGCTCACAGAAAGCCAAATAAGGAAGAGGTTTAACCTGATTGTTTAATGGATAAGATAAAGGGTCAAAGAATTAAACACAGAGAAATAGAAAAATGATGGTTGGTATCCAGTTGCCTTTGTAATTTCTGTGTGTCATATTATAATTATGTATGTTTTATTTTTATTTTTTGAGACAGAGTCCCCCTGTGTCAGGCTGGAGTGCAGTGATGCGATCTCAGTTCAACCTCTGCCTCCAGGGTTGAAGCCATTCTTCTGCTTCAGCCTCCCCAGTCGCTGGGATTACAGGCAGGTGCCAATGCACCAGGCTAATTTTTGTATTTTTAGTACAGACGGGGTTTCACCATGTTGGCCAGGCTGGTCTCAAACTCCTACCCTTAAGTGATCTACCCGCCTTGGCCTCCCAAAGTGTTGGGTTACAGGTGTGAGCCCCCATCCACAGTCTTGTATATTATATTATACTAGGTCCCTTCATTTGCACCACCCCTCATGTGTCTATCGCTCCTCTGCCAGGTATGGATTTAGATGTAGAAAAAAAACACATCTCAGAAAGAAATTAATGAAACAAGGATTAAACTACTAGGAAAAATCAAACCCAGCAAGCCCTCCCTGCAAATGATTCTACCTCACAAGCATAGCTTATATCCATCTTTCATTCATTTAGTGTGTAAATCAACCCTACGTTTCACCAGTGGGGCGGGAATTGCCTTTTCCACCGTCTCCTAGATTCCAGTTACGCACCTGGGCCTCCCTTATTTTCATGTCGGTCACTATTAATCAGGTAGGGATTCCTAGTTAGCTCTGAGTTGAATCCAATGGCTGTGAGTATCAAACACACGCTCCTTGTTCCTCCTTAGTTTCCTGTGTACCCAGTGTGCTCTCCATCTCTCTACAGTTGTCTTGTCATTCTCCCCACTTCATTCCCAGCATTTGAGGCAGAGCCTCTTCCTTGAACTAAGAATGTTTCCACCTTTGTGCCTTCACGGCTGAGAGCTCAGTGTGGAAAATCCTTCCGCCAATCTTCCAAGGGTTGAATCCATTTTTTCCATTAAGGTCACAAATATTATCTGATCAGTGAGACCTTCTCTGTCACCTGAAATTATATACTCAGCATTATCTATTACTTATTTTAAATCCTGGCTGGGCGCAGTAGCTCTCGCCTGTAATCTTTGCACTTAGGGACGCTAAGGCGGTGGGATCACTTGAGATTGGGAGTTTGAGACAGCCTGCACAACATGGTGAAACCTCATTTCTACTAAAAAAATATACCAAAAAAATTAGCCGAGTGTGGTGGCGCACAGCTGTAATCCCAGCTACTCGGTAGGCTGAGGCAGGAGAATTGCATGAACCCAGGAGGCAGAGGTTGCAATGAGCTGAGATTGTGCTACTGCACTCCAGCCTGTGGAACAGAGAGAGACTCTACTCAAAAAAAAAAAGAAAACAAAAAAAACACACACACACAAAAAACCCCAGATTTGGTGCACAGATGCTTCCCAATGGATCATTCATTTATTGGTACCCTTGTGCATTCATTCTCTGCCCTCGCATTTACCCATCTGCAATATCAGCGTCCCAAGAGCAGAGGCCAAATGCATCCTGTTTACCATTTGTGGAAGGCAGGAGAATGCTGCCCCACCCCCAAAATGTCCCTGTCTTAGCCTCCATAGCTTGTGAATATGTTATTTTACAGGAAAGGAGGAATGAAGATTGCAGATGGCATTACGGTTGCTAATCAGCTGAACTTAAAAAGAGGGTACGCTGGATGATTTTAGGGAGATTGAGATGGATTATCTTGGTGACCCCAATAGAATCCCAAAGTCCTTAAAAGATGAGGAAGAAGGCAGAGCAGGATTCAGAGAAAAAGGTGTGGGTAAAGAAGAAGAGTCTGAATGATGCCATGTGAGACGTGACCAGCCTTTGTGGGCTTTGAGGAAGGAGGAAGGAGGAAGGGGACCAGGGGCCCAGGAACGTGGGAGCCTCTAGGAGCTGGGAAACGTTAAGGAGCAGATTCTTGCTTGGAACCTTAAAAAGAAATCCAGCCTTACTGTCCCTTTGATATCAGCCCAGTGAAATGCAGTTCATACTTCTGAGTTACAGCACTGTGAGATAATTAAGAAAAACATGTTTTCATCCACGAAGCTTGTGGAAATTTGTTATGGCAACAATAGGAAAAGATTCCACACTGCACAGCCTGAGCATGGGGCATTGGCTGAACGAGTGAGTGAGTGGAAGTGTCGTGTGCATAAATAAGCTAAATTCTCTCTTACTGCACGTCTCTTGCTCTGCTGAGTCAACCAGGGTTGCATCTGGTACACTGCTGATACGAATGTAAATTAGTACAGCCATTACAGAGGAGAAGAGTATGGAAGTTCCTCAAAAAATAAAATGAGGTCGGGCACAGTGGTTCATGCCTGTAATCCCAGCACATTGGGAGGCCGAGGTGGGTAGGTCACTTGAGGTCAGGAGTTGAAGAGCAGCCTGGCCAATATAGCGAAACTCTGTCTCTACTAAAAATATAAAAATTAGCCGAGTGTGGTGGTGGGAGCCAGTAACCCAGCTACTTGGGAGGCTGAGGCTGGGGAATCTCTTGAATCCTGGAGGTGGAGGTTGCAGTGAGCCCAGATGGCGCCACTGCACTCCAGCCTGGGCAACAAGAGTGAAACAGTCTAAAAAAAACAAAAACAAAAACAAAAACCATAAAACAAAATGTAAAAAGACACTTCCAGAGGATCTAGCAATTCCATGACTGGGTGTAAACCCAAAGGAAAGGACATCAGCGTATCGAAGTGACATCTGCACTCCCATGACTGTTCCAGCAGTGTTCACAGTAGCCAAGATGTGGATCAACCTACCTGCCCATCAGTGGGTGAATGGATGGAGAGAATGTGGTACACACACACAATAGGGACAACTCATCCATAGAAAGAGTAACATCCTGTCATTTACAGCCACATGAATGGAACTGGAGGTCATTACAAGTATTTCCATTTCTCACTCATATGCAGGAGCTAAAAGGTGGATCTCACAAAGGTAGAGAGTAGAATGGTGGCTACCAGAGGCCAGGAAGGGAAGGGTGGAGGGTAAAAAAAAAAGAATACTAATTAATTAATTAATTAATTTTGAGAGAGTGTCTCTCTCTGTTGCCCAGGCTGCAGTGCAGTGGCATGATCTCAGCTCACTGCAACCTCCGCCTCCTGCAATTAAGTGCAACTCCTGCCCAACCCTACCAAGTAGCTGGGACTACAGGCATGTGCCACCATGCTCGGCTAATTATTATCATTATAATTATTATTTTGTATTTTTAGTACAGATGGATTTTCCCCATGTTGGCCAGGGTGGTCTTGAGCCCCTGATCTCAAATGATCCACCTGCCTTGGCCTCTCAAAGTGTTGGGATTACAACCGTGAGCCACCGTGCCCAGCCTATAAATGTATTTATGAACAGTAGACTTCACACTTAAAAATGGTAAAGGTGGTAAATTACATAGGTATATTTCACCTCAATAAATATTTCTTCAAACAAAAAGAAAAGGGTGTAGGCGTTGCTGGTGATGACATCTCTCTGTGGGTGACAGGCCAGGATGGGCTTCTGGGAAGTGGGTAAGGTTGAGGGGCTGAGAGAACCTCTGATCTCCCCAGGCAGAGCCCAGTCTCCCTCCTCTGGGTCTGTTCTGACCTCTTTCTCCATCTGCCTGGGTGCCTGGAACCCTGATCAAGGGCATCCTTGCAGGCCATACAGGAGGGTTTGGAGGTGCCCTGTCTGCCATCCTGCGCCCTGACCCCGCCCTTACACCCATGCTGTGTGTTCTGTCTCGGCATCTGTCCATGCTTCTCTCCATCATCAGCAGGAAGCTCCTCAGCTATGGCTCTAGGATCACAAGACATGGGACAGGCATGGTGTTTTCTCACCTGTGACAGAAACGGGCAGTGGGTCACTCGGGTCTGACCACGCATGGGGCAGGGCACGGAAAGAGCCGAAGCATCTGTAGTTCCCTCCGTGGGTCACAGGGCCCAGAGGGAAGTTGGCCTGGAATGTTCCATTGACCCTCAGCACTGCAGTGAGCCTAAGTTCACCGGCCTCCGCCTCCCTGGATAGATGGTAAATGTCAAACAAGCTCCGGGAGCTGCAGGACAAGGTCACATTCTCTCCTGCCTGAACCGTGGGGCCCGGCTGGGCTGAGAGAGAAGGTTTCCCATATAGACCTGGAAGAAGAAGAGGTGGTTTCCTCAGGGAGGTTCTTCCTTGTCACAGCTCTCCTCACACCTGAGCTGAGAACTCACTCCCCTGCTCTATGACTTAATGCTCTCTTTCTCTCTCTCACCCTCCACCCCCATCTCTCTTCATGTCTATTTCCTCCTTCCACCTTCTCTGTCTCTCTAGGTCTCTGACCTCACTTCTCCATCCCTAGCTATGTTTTCTTTTTTTGTACCATTTTATTCTCTCTGACCCTCCTTGGACTGGTTGACTTGATCTTCCTCTTTCTTTAATTCTGAGTCTCTCACTTTCTGTCTTGCTCATAACTTTCTGCATATTTCTATCTATTATCTATTGATCGATCTATCATTTATCTATGTATGTATCTATCATCTATCATCATCTGTGTATCTATGACCTATCTCTCTGTTATCTATCATCTATCAATCAATGTATGTATGTATGCATCTATCCATCTATCATCATGTGTTTATCTGTCTTTCTATCTCTCTATATCTATTTATATATCATCTGTCTGTCTTTCTACTTGTCTATCTATATCATCTATCAGTCATTCATCATCTATTTGTCTATCACCTGTCTCTCTATTATCTATCATCTACCTTTTATCTTTCATCTATCTATATCTATCTGTCCATCTATCATCTGTCTCTCTCCATCTCCTTGTCTTTCTCTGCCTCTCAGTCTCTCTAGTTCCCTTTTGGAGTCTCTGCAATCCATCCTCACATCTTTATCTTTCCCTGTCTTTGTGCCCCTCCCTCAGGGCTCTGATTTTAGGGCTTTTCTCTGCTTCCTTCCATCATACGCTCCACTTCTCTGCCCTCTTTTTCTATCTCTTTATGTGTCTGTGAGTCTCTCAATTCCCTTCTTCTGGCTCATTCTGTGTGTGTGTTCATGTCTTTGCTTTTTGATTTCCCTGATTTCACTCCGTGTCTCTCTGTGGGCTTTTGTTCTCAGTAATCCTATAACATGTGGTGCTATTTGAATATGAGCCTCAGAATCCAGTATGGGGACTCCAGGAACTCACAGCATACAGGGGTTGGTGTTCTGCTCCCTCACCTGGGGCCATGGTGTCCTGGGACGATGACAGCTCCACTGCACGGAAGGCAGAGGTTTAAGAATAAACACAACATCTGTAGGTGCCACCAGCCTGGGGCCACATGGCCCAACTCAGGCCAGATAGATGTGTCTCTTTGGGTTCTCCTGGGAGAGAACACTTTGTAGAGGTAAAACAGAATGGAACCTTCTAACCTGTGCCTGGTCTCTGAACAAAGTCAGCATAGAAGGACACCTCTCTCTGGGATATGTCTGTCTCTCTGTGTCTTCTTTACCTCTTTATCTCTTTTTCTAACACCTTGTATGGCCCCTGTGTCTGGCTTCTATGTTATGACATGAGGTCTGTACTTGTGTCTCCTGTTTCTCTGCCTTTGTTGGTACAGACCTCACCAAGTCACTTTCTCTCCATAGGAACCCCACACTCATCTTCCTCATGACCACCTGGGGCTTCCAGTCCTAGATCATTCACTCCATCTCCCAGCAAGGGTGAGAGGCAGGTCTGTATTCTCTCACCTACGACCACGATGTCCAGAGGGTCACTGGGAGCCGACAACTCATAGGGTAAGTGAGTGACAGAACCAAAGCATCTGTAGGTCCCTGCAAGGGCAGGTGTCATGGGACCCATGGAATAGTTGACCTGGGAACCCGCATCGTGGAGCTGTCCAACGAGGCGCAAGGGGTCCTCAGTGATCCCCTCTCTGTGCAGAAGGAAGTGCTCAAACCTGACATCTGACCAACATTGCAGGATGACCGTCTCTCCTGATTTCACCAGGGGACCTGGGTGGGCCAGGAGGGAAGGTTTTCTGTGGACTCCTAAGAAGAGAGGTTGTGAGTTCAGAAGGCGTCTCCCTTTCTCATCCCATTCATGGGACCTGAAATAAGTGAGGCTTCCCCTCCATGGTGTCTATCTCTCTCCTTCCTGTCTGTGTCTCCGTGTTCTTTTGTGCCCATAACCCCTGTTGCAGGTCCCTCCATCTGTCTCCCTCCCTCTTCCCTGTCTCTCTGTCTCTAGTAGCCCTGATTCCCTTCCCACTGTGCTCAGTGTCACCTCTTAGGCTGTTGTATCTGTTTCCCACTAATCTCTTTCCTGGTGTTTATGTGGGGGTGGAAGAGGAACCATGACAGGCTGCATGTCCAGGCTCTTAGCAGCCTGAATCAATCTCTTTTGGACAGATTGGAAAGGCCGGCAGGAGGTACGAACTCATCAGTAAGGCAGGCATCAGTGTCCCTGTTCCTGATGGGGATTGGGAGCCTCTCCTTTCATGTCTGTGCCTTCTCCATGGCCCCAGCTTCCATAGGGTGGCCCCTGGTGCTGGTTCCAGGAGCATCAACCCCTCCCTATGTGGATCGAGCCTGGTGGTAGCATCAGTATCCCACCCATGCTAAAATCAGTGTAGCCAACCTTCTCCTTGTTTGGTTTCTTAACCTGTGCTTCACCTGGGTTCCTGTGTTGGTTTCCTGTTGCTGCTGGAGAAAATTGTCACAAACATGGGGCAGGAGAGAATACAATGACCCCTTCCACTTCTGGAGAACAGAAATCGGACCCAGTTCTCTCTGGGCTAAAATCAAGGCATCTGCAGGGCTGTGTTTCCTCTGGAGACTCAGGGAAGAATCAGTTCCCTTGACTTCTCCAGCCCTTAGAGGCCACCTGCCTTTGTGGCTCATGGCCTTCCCCCATCTTCAAAGCCCGCTGTGGCTGATGGAGTCTCCCTCCCACGACGTTGCTCTAACCCCACTTTCCTCTTCCTCCTCCTCTCATGAGGACCCTTGTGATTACTCTGAGCACAGCAGGACAGTCCAGGCTGTCTCCCCATCGCAAGGTCAACTCATCAACAACCTGAGCTCCATCTTCCTCTTCAGTCCCCTGCCCTATAACATAAATAGTCACAGGGTTCATGGATTACCATGTAGCCATCACTGGGGACAATTATTCTTCCCACCACAGCAACTATTTCTCTGTACTGAATCCCCCTTTACCCCAAATACAGTCGGGGCCTGGATGATTGGACCCTGATGGACGCCCCCACCAGAAGCTCTGGGATTCAGGAGGTGGGACAGTGAGAAGCCCAGACAGAAAGCCTCTGACCTGTGACCATGATCACCACAGGGTTGCTGGGTGCCGACCACCCAGTGGGGGAGTGTGGGTGTGAACTGCAACATCTGTAGGTCCCTGCATGTGCTGGGGTCACAGGGCCCATGAGAAAGCTGTTCCGGAATATTCTGTTGTAGAGCTCAGGGACAGGCATCCCGTCTTCTTTGGACAGACTGAATTCATTAAACCCAAGACGAGAGCGACACTGAAGAGTCACATGTTGTCCTTCAGACACCACAGTGCCGGGCCAGGCAGAGAGGAAGGGCTTGTCCTGACCACCTGGGGGAGAAGGAGGCACCACCTTAGAGAGGAGGATGTGGAGCCGCCCCTCCCTCCCTGTGCTCAGAAGATTCTCCCATTTCCACGTTTCTAAGGCTCCTACCACACCTGGGTGCCCAGGGCTACAGGAAGGACCCATCCCGCATAGACATGGCGTCTCCCTACAGCAAGTGTCAGCTGAGAACTTTGAGCAGGTGCTGAAGAAGCGACTCTTACTAGATTTTAACACTGCAAAATTACTTACATAAAAGAACACAAGGTAGACACAGGATGGAGGGCATGATCAGCTAATGCATGAACCATAATAAACAACTGAGCCCCTATTAGAAGATCTGGAATGTCAGGGTCATGACTGTGGTTCCCCCACCTCTTAGGTAGAATGACAGCAGCCACATTGCAGCCCCTACCGTCATGGAAACGCTGGAGGGTGTGAGTTATGCTCTTGTCCTCAGAGGCCTGTTGTTCCTTGCACTGCTTCTCTCCCTTCCTCTGCCGGTGACACCACTTCCTCCCTGCACACCACTCCTTTGAGCACTTCAGTCTCCCCCTGGGTCCCCACAGACTCAGCCAAGGGAAAGAAAGGCCGGGGAGGGCTAGGACAGAACTGTGGCGAAGCTTCCCCTGGCTTCCTTTTCCTAGTTCATGAGAGATTCCCACATGGCTTCCCATGGTCAGCCCATCAGTCAACCCCCTGTGTCGCCTGCCTCCCGTTTCAGGAGCATCATCTTATGTGGGGAGATGACAACCTAAGGTTTGGGGGAAGGACTCACCCACATGTGGCCAGGGCCCCTCCAGCAAGAAGAACCCTGGAAAGAAAGATCATGATGGATGATCCATCTGTACATCACCTCCAGGCCCATATCTCCACTCCAGGCCCATATCTCCACCTCTAGGCCCATATCTCCACTCCAGGCCTATATCTCCACCTCCGTCCTATATCTCTACTCCAGGCCCATATCTCCACTCCAGGCCTATATCTCCACCTCCGTCCTATATCTCTACTCCAGGCCCATATCTACACTCCAGGCCCATATCTCCACCTCCAGGCCTGTATCTCCACCTCCAGGCCCGTGTCTCCATTCCAGGCCCATATCTGCACTCCAAGCCAACATCTCCACTCCAGGCCCGTATCTCTACTCCAGGCCCATATCTACAGTTCCAGGCCCATATCTCCACCTCCAGGCCCATATCTCCACTCTAGGCCCATATCTCCACCTCCAGGCCCGTATCTCAATTCCAGGTCCATATCTGCACTCCAAGCCAATATCTCCACTCCAGGCCCATATCTACAGTTCCAGGCCCATATCTCTACTCCAGGCCCATATCTCTACTTCAGGCCCATATCTACAGTTCCAGGCCCATATCTCCACTCCAGGCCCATATCTCCACCCCAGGCCCATATCTCCACTCCAGGCCTATATCTCCACTCCAGGCCCATATCTCCACTCCAGGCCCAGATCTCCACTCCAGGCCCAGATCTCCACCCCAGCGCTCCCTCCCTCGATTCCCTTCCAGGACTCACCAACACACGCCATGCTGACGACCATGAGCGACATGGTGCTGCCGGTGCAGACAGGCGGCTGCGCCCCAGCTCAGTTCAGCAGCACACAGGATGTTGTGAGGGGCTCATGCAGTTTACATGCTGACCACATCATGGGAGGATGACGTATGCAGGCTATTTCTACCTTGCATGAGGCCCAGTGGCTGTTTGGTCAAGAGCGGAACATGGCTTCCTGGAAATTGTTCCAACTAGAATTGACACCTTGCATCCTTCACTATAACCAACTCAAAACACGTCTCAGATCCAATCTCTCATACAGGAGATGACTGAATGCTTGGCTTACATTAAAGACTTTTGATGTATTTTTGTTGTTTTTATCTGAGATTCAAACTCTTCTTCATGTGCTATTTTCCCCAGGCTGTTCTTTGACTTCAGAGTTCAAGCAATCCTCCTGCCCCAGCATTTCTAGCAGCTGGCAGTATGTCACAATCTGCCACACCCAAGTCACAACTTTTAGAACTTTTTTTTTTTTTGAGACGCAATCTCACTTCGTCACCCAGTTTGGAATGCAGTGGTGAGACCTCGGCTCATTGCAGCCTCCACCTCCCAGGTTCACGCAATTCTCGTGCCTCAGCCTCCTAAGTAGCTGGATTTACAGGCACCCACCATCACGCCCACCTAATTTTTGTACTTTTAGTAGAGAGGAGGTTTCTCCATGTTGGCCAGGCTGGTCTTGAACTCCTAACCTCAAGTGATCTGTCTACTTCAGCCTCCCAAAGTGCTGAGATTACAGGTGTGAGCCACCATGCCTGGCCGGGACATTCTATATGTGTGCGTATGTGTGCGTTTATATACATATGGTTATACACACACACACACACACACACCCTAAGCACTCACATATATAGTTGTTTCAAATTTTAAAAAATATAAATTTTGTATTTTTCTTTCTTTTTCTCACATTTGTGTTTCTATGACACCATATACATATTGAATTTTATAGTTCTATTTTATTCTTTTGGATTGCAGTTTAATAGTCCATACATAACTTTATCAACATGTAATTATCCACTCTTTTTATCATGGACATTTGTGTTGTTTCCGGATTTTCTCTTTTATAACTCGGGCCTTGATAATCGTGTTTCTGTGTGATCCCTTGCATACATATGCTGAATTAATTAGACATATTTACCTAGGAATGAAATTATTGGTTTTGGGTGCAAGTTGGTGTTGAGCTTAACCAGGAAGTGCCAAAATATTTCCATCATGACCAAATGTGGCCTGGAAAGTTTTTTGGGGTCAATTTTCCTGTTTCTTCTAAGGAACAAAATTGATGTCACTGATTTTTCTGTCCTGTTTGTCATTTATGAATATACGTACATATGCACGTATATATTTGCTTGCCATTTTATGTTTTTCCTCGACGTTACTTTGGAATTAATTTGCTGATGTGTAGTATTTCTGCAAGCGAAAGTTACCTATTTACTCAGCTCTTCCTTCTTTTCTAACACAGACATTTGAGGCTTATTTTCCTTTAACACTGTTCTATCTGTATCCCCAGTCATTTGCCGAGATGTGTTTTCATTTTTAATTGATACAAAATATTTTCCACCTTTCTTTGAAATGTTTTTCTTCCACTCATTGTTTATTGCTATGTGTGTTTATTAATTTTAAAATATTTGATAATTTCCCCAGCATTTCCTTGTTGTACATTTATAATTTAATTCAACTGTTTCATCTATCATATTACCTATGATTCAGCATTTAAAAATTTATTTTGGTGAATGTTCCAGGGGTGCTAGACAAGTTTGTGGATTAGGAAGATTTGAGGTGGATGTTTTCTAAATGTCAGTTAAGAAAAAAATCATTCAAATGTTTTTCTTTATTTAAAAAAAATAGAGACGGGGTCTCACTATGGTGCCCAGGCTGGTCTCAAACTCCTGGCCTCAAGTGATCCTCCCATTTTGGCCTCCCAAAGTGCTAGGATTATTGAAATTATTAAATGTTTCATATCAACACCCAACCTTATGCACCCGCCGCCTACACAAATGTTTTTCAAGTCTTTCATATGCTTAATAATTTTCTGTGTACTTGTTCTGGAAGTGAGGTGAATGTTGCTATCTCTAGCTGCAATTTGGATGTGATTGATTATGTTTTGAATTATGCCTTTAATTTAATGTGTTTTGAGGTTCCAGCTTTAGGTGTGTAGGCATTTAGGATTATTATGTCTTATTTATGAATTTGCCTCTTTGTCATTATGAAGTACTCCTCTTCATATCTCCATATATCTCTTCTTTGTATGTGCATGGTGAAATATTTCATTCTTTGAGTTAAGAAACTTCTATTGAGGAATACTTTTTATTACAAACATTTACCTATTCTATGTATACAACTGACTAGAAGCATATTTTGCACTGGGCATTATCATGACAATGTAATGTCATTCTTTCAATATTTACATCTTGTGGATTAGTATTTGAAGTGCAGCTTATGTAGACAGCATAAGGTTGGGTGTTGATATGAAACATTTAATAATTGCACACGTATTTGCCTCTTGGGATACTTCCACTTTTTTGAATTTCAAGTTACTAAATGGTATCATTAATCTTTGCTTCAAGAGCTTAACATTTATTGTAGAACAATGCTTCATGTAATAAATTGTGAGACATTTTTAATGGCACCTTTATTGCAGGAAAATGTTTTCCTTTTCAGGTTGAAAGATTCTAGTTTGAAATATTTTCTTGTAGCACTTTAAAAATGTTGGTCCACCTATTTCTTACTTTCATAGTTTTGAATACAAAGTTTGCTGTCATTCTTGTATTTCTTCTTCTGTTTTTTATTTATTTATTTTTGACAGAATATCTTGCCGTCTCACCCAGGCTGGAGTGCAGTGGCATGATCTTGGCTCACTGCAACCTCTGCCTTCCAGGTTTCAGCAATTCCTGCCTCAGCCTCCTGAGTAGCTGGGACTACAGGCATGCGCCACCATACCCAGCCAATTTTTTTTTTTGTATTTTTTTTTTGTAGAGATGAAGTTTTGCCATATTGGCCAGAACTCCTGACCTCAAATGATCCACCTGCTTTGGCCTCCCAAAGTGCTGGGATTACAGGTGTGAGCCACTGTGCTCAGGCTATTTATTCCTTTTTATATAATATGAATTCACATTCATACATACCAGGGGTTAGGATTTCAACAAACGTTTCTGGGGGAGACCACTCAAAACACAGCACTCATCCTTGGTTATTTCCAGCCATGGAGCCTGTATCAATATCCTGGTGAATTATCTAAGCTGTCCACCTACCTACCCCAAATCCTCATGGTCACATAAAAGGCTAGTATAGTATAATAATTTTTCTTTCCCTGCTTATCTACAGTGATGAAGAAACGAATATTCAAAGGGAAAAATCTTAGCTTTAGGTATAGGGTAATTCTTCTTCCTATTTTTAAATAACTTCAACCTTTACTGTAGATTAAAGGTATGCATGCAGGTTTGTTACATAGGCATATTGTGTGACTCTGAGGTTTGTGGTTCCAACAATGCCATCACCCAGGCAATGAGCATAGAATCCAACAGGTGTTTCTTCAGCCTATACCTCCCTACTCCTCCCCCCATCTGTAGTCCTCGGTATCTGTTGTTTCCATCTTTATGTTCATGTGTATTCAATGTTTGGTTCTCAGTTATAAGTGATAACATGTGGTATTTGGTTTTCTGTTCCTGGGTTAGTTCACTTAGGAGATTGACCTCCTGCTACATTCATGTTGCTGCAAAGGACATGATTTCATTATTTTTTATGGCCATGTAATGTTCCATGTGTATATGTAGCACATTTTCTTTAACTAATCCACTGTTGGTGAGCACTTAGGTTGACTGCAAATCTTTGCTATTCTGAATTGCACAGCAATGAATATACTAGTGCATGTGTCTTTTTGACATAGTTAATTACCTTCCTTTTGGTATATACCCAGTAGTGGGATTGCTTGATTGAATAGTAGTTCTATTTTAAGTTATTTGAGAAGTCTCCAAACTGCTTATCACATTGGCTGAACTAGTTAACATTCCCACCAAGAGTGTATAAGTGTTCCCTTTTCTCCACAATCTTGTCAGCATCTGTTATTAAAAAAAACAAAAAACTTTTTAGTAATTGCTTCTGCTTCTCTGATTGTTGTGAGATGGTATCTCACTGTGGTTTTAATTTGCATTTCTCTGATGATTACTGATAATAAGCATTTGTTCATATGTTTTTTGGCCATGTGTACATCTTCTTTTGAGAAGTGTCTGTTCATGTCATACTTAATTGAGGTTTTTTGGTTTTCTGCTTGTTGATTTGTTTACATTCCTTATAGATTCTGGATATTAGAACTTTGTCAGATGCATAGTTTGCAAATATTTTCTCCCAGTCTGTAGGTTATCTGTTTACTCTGTTGATACTTTCGTTTGCTGTGCAGAAGCTCTTCAGTTGAGTTAGGTCCCAATTTCTGTCTTTGTCACAATTGGTTTTGGGGAGTTAGCCATAAATTCTTTGCCAAAGTCTATCTTGAGAAGGATATTTCCTAGGTTTTCTTCTAGAATTTTAATATTTTGAGGTTTTACATTTAAATCTTTAAACTATCTTGGGTTAATTTTTGTATATAGTGAGAGTTAGGGGTCCAGTTCTATTATTTTGCATATGAGTAGTCAGTTATCCCAGAACTATTTATTGAAGAAAGGGTACTTTCCACATTGCTTGTTTTTGTCAATTTTTTCAAAGATGATTGTAGGTATGTAGCCTCATTTCTGGGTTCTCTATTCTGTCTCATTGGTCTATGTGTCTGTTTTTGTAGTAGTATCATGCTGTTTGGGTTACTATAGCATTGTAGTATAGTTTGAAGTTGGGTAATGTGATGCCTGGGCTTTGTTCTTTGTGCTTAGGATTCCTATGTGTATTCAGGCTCTTTTTTTGGTGCCAAATACATTTTAGAATAAATTTTTATAATTTCGTGAAAAATGACATTGCATTTTGAAATGGATAGCATTGAGTCTGCAATTTGTTTTTGGAAGTATGGCGATTTTAACTATTTGTTCTCCTAATTCATGAGCATGGAATATTCTTCCATTTGTTTGTATCATTTCTTATTTCTTTCAGAAGTGTTTTGTAGTTCTCCTTGTAGAGAATTTTCACCTTCTTGGTTAGATGGATTCCTAGGTATTTTATTTTCTTTGTGGCTAGTGTAAATGGAATTGTGTTCTTGATTTAGTTCTCAGCTAGAATGTTAGTGGTGCATAGAAATGTTACTAATTTGTGTACATTTTTTTAATCCCGAAACTTTATTGAATTTGTTTATCAGTTTCAGGAGCCTTCTGACAGAGTCTTTAGGGTTTTCTATGTATAAAATTATTTCATCAGCAAAGAGAGACAGTATCACTACTTCTTTTCCAATTTTAATGCCTTTTATTTCCTTCTCTTGCCTGATTGCTTTGGCTAGGACTTCCAGTACCATGTTGAATTAAAATGGCGGGAGTGGTCATCCTGGTCTTGTTTCGGTTCTCAAGGGGTATGGTTCCAGCTTTTGCCCATCAATATGATGTTGGCTGTGGGTTTGTCATAGATGGCTCTTAATATTTTGAGGTATGTTCCTTTGATGCCTATTGACAGTTTTTATCATGAAGGGATGTTGGATTTTACAGAAAGCTTTTTCTGCATCTATTGAGATGATCATATAGTTTTTGTTTTTAATTATGTTTATGAGGTGAATCACATTCGTTGACTTTGTAGGTTGAACCAACCTTGCATCCCAAAAATAAAGCTTACTTGATCATGTGAATTAACTTTTGATGCACTGACAGATTCAATTTGCTAGCATTTTGTTGAGGATTTTATGTCTATGTTCATTAAGGATATTTAGTTGTAGTTTTCTTTTTTTCATTATGTCTCTGACAGATGTTGGTATCATGGTGATGATGGCTTCATAGAATGAGTTAGGAAGAAGCCCCCACTCCTTGATTTTTTCCAAAAGTTTCAGTAAGATCGGTATCAGTTCTTCTTTGTATGGCTGTTGGATTTTGGCTGTGAATCCATCTGGTCCTGGGCTATTTTTAGTTAGTAGGGTTTTTATTACTGATTAAATTTCTGAACTTGTTATTGGTCTGTTCAGGTTTTCACTTTCTTCCTGGTTGAAATATGATAAATTTTGTGTTACCAGGAATTTATCCATTTCTTCTAGGTTTTCTAGCTTGTTTGTATAGAGGTGTTCATAATAGTCTTTGACGATCTTTTCTATTTCTGTGGGATTGTTCGTAACATTGTTTTGTCAGTTCTATTTGTGTTTATTTGGATCTTTTCTCTTTTTCTTTGTTAATCTAGCTAACAGTCTATGAATTTTGTTTATTTTTTTTCAAAGAAAAACTCTTGGTTTTATTTATCTCTTGTATGGACTTTTTGGTCTCAATTTATTCAGTTCTCTCTGACTTTAGTTATTTCTCATCTTTTGCTGGCCTTGGGTTTGGACTGTTCCTTTTTTTTAATAGTTCCTCTAGATGCAGTGTTAAGTCACTAATTTGAGATCTTTCTAAACTTCTGATGAGGCATGTATTGCTATAAATTTTCCTCTTATCACTGCTTTAACTGCATCCCAAAGGTTTTGGTAAGTTTGTTTCTATTTTTATTAATTTTAAATAATGTTTTGTGATTTCTGCTTTAATTTCATTGTTCACCCAAGAGTTCTCAAGGGGTACAGTTCCAGCTTTTGACCATTCAATATGATGTTGGCTGTGGATTTGTCATAGATGGCTCTTAATATTCATTCAGAAACAAGTTGTTAAATTTCCATGTTTTTCTGTAGTTTTGAGAGATCATCTTGGTATTTTTTTCTATTTTTATTGTGTGCCTTGTTATGATTTTGATTCTTTGAATTTATTGAGACTTGCTTTGTGGCCAGTCTTAGAATATGATATGTTTTTTGTGTGTGCAGATAAGAAGAATCTATATTCTGCAGTTGTTGGGTGGAGTACTCTGTAGATGTCTATGAGGTCCAATTGGTCAAGTGTTGTCTTTAAGACCAGAATTTCTTTGTTAGTTTTCTGTTTTAGTGATTCATCTGACGTTGTTAGTGGGATACTGAAGTCCCTTACTATTATTGTGTGGCTGTCTAACTCTTTTCATAGGTGAAGAATAACTTGTTTTATGAATCGGGGTGCTCCAAATTTGGGTGCATATATATTTAGAATAGTTAAGTCTTCTGTCAAATTGAACCCTTTATCATTTTGTAATGCCCTTCTTTGTCCTTCCTGATTGCTGTTGATTTAAAGTGTGTTTCATGTGATATAAGAATAGGAATGCCTTCCTTTTTTTTGTTTCCTGGTTGCCTAGTAAATATTTCTTCATCCTTTTACTTTGAGCCTGTGGGTGTCATTACATGTGAGATGGGTCTCTTGAAGACAGCAGGCAGTTGGCTCTTGGCTTTTTATCCACGTTGCCACTCTATGCCTTTTATGTGGGGAATTTAGGCCATTTACATTTCTTCTCCTGATATATCCTTTTTATATTTTTATGATTGCCTTTTAAAATATATTGAATGGTTGTAATTCCAGGGAAATGTCTTTCAGAACAGTATTTATTCCCATCTACATGTTTTGGAGAGTGCACTAGGGGACATTGAAGTTTATTTCCTGAAAAGAGTTTAATTTTAAAATGTATTTTATTTAATAACTCAATGATTCAGGGAATGTCTAGGTATTTCAGAGATTGTTTTAGACAGTTTGTTTTCTTGTGATATGTGACCACTTCATCTAAGCTGAATAATGTCTTCATAATGTCCACTTAGAATCTTTTGAATTCTGTAGGATCTGTACTGATGTCATTGTTTCCTTTCTGATATTGGTAATTTTCCTGGGGTAGGATTCTTAGCTCCTCCTGAGGTCCTGCCTCTAAAATTCAGGGAACAATGAGTCAGATTAGTACTCTGATTTCAAAGGGAAAGCTGATCATCTACCATTTTTTGTTTATGTAAATGGACACATTAACATCCCTTGTCTGAACCTTAGTTACCTTGTTTGGAGCATTTTGCTATAAATCTCACTTCTCAGAGTGGTTGTGGGGCTTGATGTGGCTGGGGTATGGGATGGCTTAAACATAATTTATTTCCAGACCAGGTTAAGGCATGAAGGGGTTGGGACTTGTTAGAATCCTGTTGTCGGACTCCACAGTAAGGGTAGACATTTGAGGCACCCAATCAAAAACCTCAGTTGTTCCTAGCACTGAGAAATTTGATAGAATGTTTCTAAAACATTATTCATGGTCTAATGCACAAAAAGTAAAGTGATAGCCCTGGAAGTAGACAGGGAACCATAAGAAAAAAGAGAGAGCAAAGCTCAGTGGTCACCAGTGCCTGGGACCATCAAGGGGTTATTAAGGAGGAAGTTTCCACCTCTGTGGGGAACAGAAGAGGCTCCCTAGGGTCCACACACACAGGGAGTGAGCCAAGACTCTGGGCGAGGCTGGAAGCTCTGGGTCTCCTTCTGTGAGATTTTCTTTTTTTTTTTTGAGATGGAGTCTTGCTCTGCCACCCAGGCTAGAGTGCAACGGCGCGATCTCGGCTCATGGCAACCTCTGCATAAAGTGGTATGTATTTAAGGCATGCATTAGACAAATTACTAAGTATTTACTAGATAAGAAAAAATTATATCTGAATCTTTTCAAATTGCCGTCTTATGCATTATATTCTCTTTTTATAGTGCAATTTCTTAATAGTTAATGCCAGAAGATTTTTTTTTCTTCCTTTCTTTCTTTCTTTTTTTTTTTTTTTTGAGACAGAGTCTCACTCTGTTGCCAGGCTGGAGTGCAGTGGCACGATCTCGGCTCACTGCAACCTCCGTCTCTCGGGTTCATGCCATTCTCCCGCCTCAGCCTCCTGAGAAGCTGGGACTACAGGCACCCTCTACCATGCCCAGCTATTTTTTTTTTTTTTTTTGTATTTTTAGTAGAGACGGGGTTTCACCATGTTCGCCAGGATGATCTCTGTCTCTTGAACTCGTGATCCACCTGCCTTGGCTTCCCAAAGTGCTGGGATTACAGGCATGAGCCACTGCACCTGGTCGCCAAAAGATATTTTTAAAAACCTAAATGCCACTTGAAATGAATAAGACCCTCAATAATTCATGGGATATACATGTGAACTTATGACATATGATGAAATAAGCAGGTTACAAAATTGTAATATATCAAGCAAGGTAGAAAGCCATGGCAGAAAAAGAGACAAGCATTTTCAAGATAAGGAATGAAAGAGGGGAAACAGTACTATTGATTTTACAGATTTTACAAAGATATCTTAGGTGTGTTTTCCTAAATAATAAATGTACCCTCCTTTTGACCTTTATGTAATGAAATAACCATGCACACATTTTCAAATAATACTTCATTTACTTGACTTTATGCTTGAAAATTGAAGTATGGTGCTGTTTGTTATTTTCATTTATGCATTTTACTACCTTGTAATATTCCACTGAGTCTATTTACCACACTATGTTTATTTTTTTCGTAGGTGGACTTTGGTATTTTATAGCTTTGGCTAATAGGAACAGCATTCCTATAACAGTTGTGAGTGTATCATGACACATAAGTAGACATTTATCTCTAGGGTACATAATTAAGTACATAATTAAGAAGGGTCACAGCCATGTGCCTCCTCTTTTTAACTAGATAATTCCAATACACTTCCTTAATTGATTAAAGCAATTTGTACTCTTACTATTAATGTACTAAAATTCTACATGTTCAATATTCTTTCCAAAAAATGATTTTGCTACTTTTTTCTTTTCTTGAGACTGAGTCTTGCTCTATCACCCAGGCTGTAGTGATCTCGGCTCACTGCAACCTCCGCCTCCTGGGTTCATGCGATTCTCGTGCCTTGGCCTCCCAAGTAGCTGGGATTACAGGCAGGCGCCACCATGTCTGGCTAATTTTTGTATTTTTAGTAGAGACAGCGTTTCACCATGTTGGCCAGGCTGGTCTCGAACTCCTGACCTCAGGTGATCCTCCTGCCTCGGCCTCCCAAAGTGTTGGGATTACAGGCATGAGCCACCACACCCGGCCTATTTTTTTCTTTTCCCTCCATTGTGCTATGATTTTTGACATTACAATTTTACTGAAACTACACCATAAGAATGAAGCAGAAATTATTATAACCTTTAAATAAACTTTACAACTGGTTCATACTCGTGTGAACGACAATTCTTTTGACTACTTCCCAACTGTGCATTCAATGGCGTCATATGGGCACCCTGAAGTTGGCCATAAAGGACGTATTTATACCACACTAATCAGCAAATACCATAAATCTGGGGCTTTATATGTTCAGAGTTTTCTTAAGAAAATAATTTTTTCAGAGAGCCAGTTTAACAGAATACCATGAGGCTGAGCCTTCGAGCGTTAGTGTGCTCATTCTGAGAGATGATATTTCTGGACAAAGTACACAGGTATCATCCGATGAAGAGTGAAGGGAATTCAGGGTCCAGAGAGGGTGCTAGGGCATCATTTCAGACTCATATTTCCCTTTTTTTTTTTTTTTTTGGAGATGGAGTCTTGCTCTGTTGCCCAGGCTGGAGTGCAGTGGCAAGATCTTGGCTCACTGCAACCTCCGCCTCCCGGGTTCAAGCTATTCTCCCGCCTCAGCTTCCTGAGCAGCTGGGATTACAGGTGCTCACTGCCACACCCAGCTAATTTTTGTATCTTTTAGTAGAGACAGGGTTTCACCATGTTGGCCAGGTTGGTCTCGAACTTCTGACCTCAAGTGATCCGCCCACCTCAGCCTCCCAAAGTGCTGGGATTACAGGTGTGAGCCACTGTGCCTGGCCTCAGACTCATGTTTCAAAGTCCCAAATACAAATCTGCCCACCTATTCCAGTTATTTAATCCAGATCTATGCTCAGAACTGAAAAGATGGAGAATCAATAGTTCACTTTAGAGAATGCGGTAGTTGGAAACAAAGACAAATGTATTACATGACAGTGGACCAGAGCACGTGATCGCAGGGGTGTGGATGCAAACCCACCATGGGGGACGTGCCTTCACATCACAGAGAGCGAAAGGAAGGGAGGGGCAGACACGGAGGATCCACAACAGCAGGACTGAAAGCACTGCCATTTAATGGAAGTTTAATGGAGGAAGCGTTCTCTACAGGCACCCAGACATCTTCCTGAACCTGACCCAAGCCTCCCCTTCTCGACTTTCTCAGTAGACGGTTTCCCGAATGATGGTCCAGACTTTCTTCCAGAACCTCCTAGGACTATCAGATTCATTGCCAAGGCTCTGGCACTCTGAAGGGTGCATTGTTCTCTCATGTATTTACCTCCTTGCTGCATCTTGGGGACTTCTCTAGCTGTGCCAGTCCTAAAGCAGCAGAATCCCGAGGACCACCAGGACCAAGCCAGCCACAGCCACGCGGATGAGATTCTCCACTGTGTAATCCTGGGGGTGTGAGGCTGGGGATGGTGGACCAAGAGGTCTCAGAGGTCAGGGCAGATCAACATCACCCGGGACCCCTGGATGTCCACCCAGGGCACCCACCTCCCCTTCACAGGACCTGACCCTCTGTGCCAGCCCCATAACCGAGAGCATCTCCTTACACACCAGTCTTGGAGTCTGTCTTGTTTTGCGATGGGCTGAGGGTCTCAGCTGCTCCTGAGAATCAACCAAAAAAGGGGGAGGTGTGTGAGGAGTTGAAGAGACTTAAGCCAACATGTCCCTCAGTTGCTGCATTCCTTTGTGTCTACACTTCTCCTAACTGCTCTGTAGTTGTGTGATAGAACCTTTCCCTGCCGTGGCAGAGGTACATTCGCATACATACATACATATATGCATAGGTGTAAATATGTGTGTATACATAATATGTGTTATGCATATGTGTATACATAATATGTATTATGCATATGTGTATAGATAATATGTATTATGCATATGTGTATGCATAATATGTATTATAAGATATAGTGTGAGTATATATAAATATATAATATATAAGATATATAATAGTGTGTGTATACATATAAATATATAATAAGATATGTAATAGTGTGTGCATATATAAATATATAATATATAATAAGATATATAATAGTGTGTATATATAAATATATAATACATAATATATTATAAGATATATAATAGTATGTATATATAAATATATAATACATAATATATAAGATATATAATAGTGTGTGTATATATAAATATATAATACATTATATATTATAAGATATATAATAGTATATATAAATATATAGTACATAATATATAATAAGATATATAATAGTGTGTGTATACATATAAATATATAATAAGATATGTAATAGTGTGTGCATATATAAATATATAATATATAATAAGATATATAATAGTGTATATATATAAATATATAATACATAATATATTATAAGATATATAATAGTATGTATATATAAATATATAATACATAATATATAAGATATATAATAGTGTGTGTATATATAAATATATAATACATTATATATTATAAGATATATAATAGTATATATAAATATATAGTACATAATATATAATAAGATATATAATAGTGTGTGTATACATATAAATATATAATAAGATATGTAATAGTGTGTGCATATATAAATATATAATATATAATAAGATATATAATAGTGTATATATATAAATATATAATACATAATATATTATAAGATATATAATAGTATGTATATATAAATATATAATACATAATATATAAGATATATAATAGTGTGTGTATATATAAATATATAATACATTATATATTATAAGATATATAATAGTATATATAAATATATAATACATAATATATAATAAGATATATAATAGTGTGTGTATATATAAATATATAATACATAATATATATTATAAGATATAATAATGTGTGGGTAATATAAATATATAATACATAATATATAAGATATATAATAGTGCATATATAAATATATAATACATAATATATATTATAAGATATAATAATGTGTGGGTATATATAAATATATAATACATAATATATATTATAAGATATAATAATGTGTGGGTATATATAAATATATAATACATAATATATAAGATATATAATAGTGTATATATAAATATATAATACATAATATATATTATAAGATATATAATAGTGTGTGAGTATATATAAACACATACATATATATTTGAAGTGAGAAGAGTATTATATAATTTAGAAACAAACAAGTTTGTCCTCCATTTTCTTGTGGTTAATGTAATTATTATCAATAAATCAGAAGAGATCATTTCGGAAAGGATTGAAAGGGAGTGTGTCTGTGGTAAGTTAATAGGAACTAAAATTAGCATACCCAAACCAATAGCTTTCTCATCCATACGTAACTAATTTTAGAAAATAGAAAGGAATCAAAGACTTTCAAATTATTCAAGTAGTAAAACAATGCTTAAAATTCACAATGTCCACAATTTTTATGAATACAACTTCAAGCATCTGCTAACTGTATAAAGTTTAATTTTAAATGTATTGGATACAAAGACATTATTAATGAGAAGTTATTCTCCATCATGAATGCACATATTTAATTTAATCCCAAAGAAAATCAGAGCACAGTTATTTTACATCATAACGCTACCTAACAAATTAAATGTGTAAATTATAAATGCCAGCATTGCTTTGAAATCTTCAGAAACAGAAAGAGAAACTAGATATGTGGACATAAAAAATAAAGGACAGAAAGGAATTGCACACGAGGTTTGCTGTTGAATAATTTGCCTGCATTGCTGCAGTGAGCAGGTGCATGATCTCCCCTTCGTCTCAGGTATGCACTGAGTATTTTGGGGCCGCCAGGGGAGCCCAGGTGGGGAGTGGGTGGGGCCTCCATCTTCTACCCTCAGCCTAAGCATGATTCCTCCAAGGTTTCTCCATATCTCATTTCAGCCCTCCCTGGCCTTTAGCCCCATCTGAGGTCTCTGGGGTGGGAGCCCAGGATTAGGAGGTCCCTGACTATTTCCACCCTCTCATGGGCTGGGCCCTCCCCTGCCGACCCTCCCCCTTTACTCCCCTCTTTCCTTAGCGTCCTGAGCTCTCCTGGGGGCAGGGCCTGAGCTGAGGTTTGAGCTCAGAGAGGACAGGGTCAGCGGCCTCACCTGAGACCACGAGCTCCAGGGGGTCACTGGGGTGAGACAGCAGGTAGGGGAAGAATCTGCGTGAGCTGTAGCACCTGTAGGTCCCCGCGTGGGCTGAGGTCACAGGACTCATGGGGAATTCAGCCTGGTGCTGCTGAGCTTGGTGCTCTGATCTCAGACGCAGTGGGTGATGGGCTGCCCCCTCCTTGGTCAGAAGGAAAGTGTCCAACTGCTCCCGTGACTGACACAGCAGGGTCACGTTCTCTCCTGAGGCCACCGTGGGGCCCGGCTGCACCGAGAGGGAGGGTCTGCCACGGATCTGTCCTGGAGAGAAGAAGGATGGGTGAGGGGCTGCCCCACCTCGTTCTGAGCTGACACCTCCCCAGGCCTCTCCCTGGGACCCTCAGTGTCTCTGTCTCTGTTTTCTCTGAGTCTCCCCCTCCCCGCCCATCCCCTGTCTCTGTCTGTCTCTCCGTCCCTTAGGACCCCCACCCCTCATCCCGGCCATCACCACCTGGGCTCCCCCAGCAGGGCCTGTGCGGAGCCTGGGTCCCTGACTGAACCTGCTGGGCTCCTCACCTGCGATCAGGATGCTCAGGGGGTCACTGGGGGCCGACCACTCGGAGGAGAGGTTGTGTGCACCGTAGCATCTGTACTGGCCCCCGTGGGAGACCCTCACAGGGCCCAGGGTGAAGTTGGCCTGGGAGAGCCCAGCCTGGGGCTGCCGGCCAGAGCCCTGGACGAGGTCATGTCCCCCCTCCTTGTACAGAGTGAATTTGTCATAGCCGACATCAGAGCCACACTGGAGGGTCAGATTCTCCCCAGGGGCCACGACAGGGCCCTGCAGGGTCAGGAGGGAGGGCTTCCTAGACACGCCTGGAGGGAAAGAAGAGTCGGGACTAGGAGGGCTGGTTCCTCCCACACCCCTTCCTTCTCCCCTCCTGGCCCTGCAGGTCTCACTGTCTCTCACACTCAGTGTCTCTGGGCTCAGGAGTCCCAAACTTCCCTTGTTCCACCCTCCTACATGGGGCTCCGTGAGAGTAAGTTCTCAAAAATAAATAGGGCAAGGAGGAAGACATCCATACCTAAGACCAGGATCTCCATGGTATCACTGGGTTCCGACCACACCCAGGGGAAGTTCGTGTAATGCCCATAGCATCTGAACATCCACCGGTGACTGGCAGCCACACGGCCCACAGGGAACAGGGCCAGGGACAAGGGACAGCCCCTTGGAGAGTTCCTGTGAGTCCAGCATCCAGGAGAGCTTGTTTTCTCCTTCCTCAATCAAAATGAACCTGTGAAATCCCACCCTTGAGCTACACTGGATGGTCACGTTCTCTCCTGAGGTCACCACAGGGCTCGGCAGGGCTGAGAGAGTGGGTTTTCTGTGGGCTCCTAGGAGAGAAGGAGACACTGTCTTAAATGGGGCTCACGCGTCCCACATCATCCCCCAGGGCTGAGTTATTAGAACGGAGATGCCCTTGAGAGCTGACCCCCTTCCTGCAGGCAGAGCCTGGGGCTGGGACCCCTGAGTGTCCTCTTACCTGTCACCACCAGCTCCAGGGGCTCGCTGCGCTCTGACCAGCCTGCAGGGCTGAGATAGTGACAGTGGTATCTCCCTGCATGGTGCTCTCTCATGGATGGGATGAAGAAGTTGGTCTTGTTCCTGGGCTCTGGTGGGCTCTGTTGGTACCAGGTCATGGGGTTTCCTTCCTTGGTGAGATAGTAACCCTGGGTATCCAGGGTCCCCTGGCACCAGAGGGTCATGGGGCTCTCCCAGGTAATCACAGAGCCTGGCTCAGCCCAGAGGCTGGGTTTGGGGAGGGTCCCTGGAAGAAACCACAGGCTGGGGTCCACAGACCTCCCCCGCTCCTCATTCCCAGCTCAGGTCACAGACCCTCTTGATTTTCTCACCCTCAGTTCAGAAGCCCCTGAGATGAGAGTCCAGGTGCTGAGTGTGAGGTCAGGCATGGGAGGTTAGCAGAGACTCACCTGCAAGTGCTTGGGCTTTCTGGCCCAGACTCAGCCATGGAGAAGAGTTTCCTGTGGGGGATTTGGAACACAGAGGTGTGGCTGCTTCCCTTCCTGTTGGAGCACCAGTAGCCACTGGAGCCCTGAGGCTCTCTGGTGAACAAGGCTGCTGTGGGACCCTCCCCACCTCAGCCCAGTGCCCCTCCTGTCCCTCGTCTCTCCACCACTGACTGAGGCACAGAAGAACAGTGAGGATGGACACCATGATGCCTGCTCTGCGTGCTCCAGCTGTGGGACAGGTGACCACATGGCCCTCCATGACAGACAGATGCACGGATGTGGTTAAGTCAGAGCCTGCTGCCGCCTGCCTGGGTCCCCACAGCTGTGAACCCACAGGAAGTGGACAGCCCCTTGCTGGGCCTGTCTCTTATTCCCCCCCCAGTGCAGGGGCTCAGGAGGACCCAGGCCCTCTGCACACATCTCAGCCCAGACCTGAGGTGTCCCCTGATTGCCAGGGATCCTTTGTCTGAAAACCTGCCCGTGGAGGGTGGACCCAACATCATATCTATGTCAGCTCCCAACTTAGCTGGGTCTAAACTGAAAACACAGCCCTTATTTTCTCAGAGCCTCCACTCATGACATCGGCTTTCTTTTTCCCCACTGATGCAAAGACAAATATTTCCCAGCAGAAAGTCATCCTGATCTGGAGAGACCCATTTCCTGCGTTCAGTAAATAAAGTCAGTTTCATTAGGGGAGGCTCTGGGAAAATAAGGGGATGCAGACTAGCAGAAGATGAACATTTAGCTACTTGTTTCTCAATTAATTGATTTATTACCAAAGAGAGAGAAGTGGAAACATGAGAATAGGGACCATGACTAGAATGTGGTTGAGGGAATGGTTTCTATCTTATTCCCTGGCAGAGAACTAAGGGATAAGAATGAGAAAGCTGGCTGGGTGCAGTGGCTTACACCTGTAATCCCAGCACTTTGGGAGGCCGAGGCAGGAAGATCACAAGGTCAGGAGTTCAAGACCAGCCTGACCAACATGGTGAAACCCCTGTCTCTACTAAAAATACAAAAACTAGCTGGGTGTGCTGGCATGCGCCTGTAATCCCAGCTACTAGGGAGGCTGAGGTGGGAGAATCGCTTGAACCTGGGAGGTGGAGCTTGCAGTGAGCCGAGATCGCGCCACTGCACTCCAGCCTGGGCAACAAAGCCGGACTGTCTCAAAAAAAAAAAAAAAAAAAAAAAAAAAGAAAGAGAGAAAACCCAGCAGTGAGAGGTAGTTGTGAGAACACACTAAAGAGGAAAGATAATCCAGGGCTGGGAGTGGTGGCTCATGCCTGTAATTCCAGCACTTTGGGAGGCTGAGGCTGGCAGATCACAAGGTCAGGAGTTCGAGACCAGCCTGACCAACATGGTGAAACCCTGTGTCTACTAAAAATGCAAAAATTAGCTGGGTGTGGTGGTGGGTGCCTGTAATCCCAGCTACTCAGGAGGCTGAGGTGGGAGAATCGCTTGAACCCAGGAGACGGAGGTTGCAGTGAGCTGAGATTGCACCACTGCACTCCAGCATAGGCAACAAAGCCAGACTCTGCCAAAAACAAAAACAAAAACAAAAACAAAAACAAAAAACAAGAAAGCTCAGTGAGAGGTGGTTGTGAGAACACACTAAAGAGGAAAGATCATTCAGGGCTGGGAGTGGTGACTCACGCCTGTAATCCCAGCACTTTGGGGGGCCACAGGCGGGTGGATTACCTGAGGGCAGGAGTTCAAGACCAGTCTGGCCAACATGGTGAAACCTCGTCTCTACTAAAAATACAAAAACTAGCTGGGTGTGATGGCGGGTGCCTGTAATCCCAGCTACTTGAGAGGCTGAGTCAGGAGAATCTCTTGAACCCAGGAGGCAGAGGTTGCAGTGAGCTGGGATCGTGCCACTGTACTCTAGCCTGGGTAACAGAGCAAGGCTCTGTCTCAAAAAAATAAAAATTAGAAAGAAAAAAGGAGAAGGAGAAGAGGAAGGAGACAGAAAGGAGAGAAACATCCCTGAGGTGGAACATTACATGCAACATGGAGTAGGCAGGGAATCCGATAGAGCACTGAAACTCTCGCTGGGTACGGTGGCTAACATCTGTACTCCCAGCACTTTGGGTGGCCGAGGTGGATGGATCACCTGAGGTCAGGAGTTTAAGACCAGCCTGACCAACATGGTGAAACCCCATCTCTACTAAAAATACAAAAGGCTGGGTGTGGTGGCTCACGCCTGTAATCCCAACACTTTGGCAGTCTGATACAGGCGGATCACATGAGATCAGGAGTTTGAGACCAGCCTGGCCAAGATGGCAAAACCTCATCTCTACTAAAAATACAAACATTACCTGGCTGTGGTGGCAGTCGCCTGTAATCCCAGCTATGCAGGAGGCTGAGGCAGGAGAATCGCTTGAACCTGAGAGGTGGAGGTTGCAGTGAGTCAAGATCGTGCCATTGCACTCCAGCCTGGCCAATAGGAGCAAAACTCCATGTGAAAATAAAATAAAATAAAATAAAATATAATAAAATAAAATAATAAATCAAAAAAGGACTGGACATCTCCTGTGGGTTGTCAGTGAATGGAACTAAGCAAGCCACCGCTCTTTCCCTTTTGTCCCGCAAGTGTCTTTCTTGGCCTCCAGGAAGTGAGTTCCATCATGTCAGACCCTATGTTTGTTCCTGCTGGGTTCACTGAGGCTCCTCCCTTTCCACCTGTGGCTCCCCATGGGTTCCCAGTCCCCAGCCAGTGTTGTGAATCGAGCCAGGAAGACCAGCCCTATCACACCCCTCCTGATGGAATTCCCACAGTGTCATCCTGGAGAACAGGGGCTGGGGGCTGGGGTAGGATCAGAGACCTTTTCATGTGGGCCAGGCCCCTCCCTCCACAGGAGCTCTGACACGAAGCTCATCACCATTCATTTCACCCTGACGATATTCTTCCTGCCCAGACACCCCCGTTCTCCCTATGTCATCATGGGCACCTCAGTGAAATCCATGGTTGAGGGTCTCTGTCACTTACTCTGCCCTCTTCTTGGAAAATTTCCTTGGATCCTTCCAGAGCCCTTCCTGAGTGTGCTGCAGGGTCTCTGCCACATGACACACTCTCAGGAACCCTCATCCTCCCCTTAATCTACTGCGCCCACATAGCCAGGTGCAGGCTCCGTTTCTTCATCTTCCCTTCCCCACAGGCCCCGATGGAGAGTGGATTAGACTCGCTCCTGAGTAGGGACTCAGGTCACTCTGACCCCTTCCTCCCTGTGGACGAGGCCTCTGTCCCAGAGCTTTGGAGGCTGAAGGGCCTTGTGGATTCCCGCACTGGCCACAGTCTCCGATGCAGATGGGGAACTGGGGACCTGGGAGGGGTTGCCTAGCCCAAGGCCACATAGCTGGGCGGTGGCACAGCCTTCACTCACACAGGGACATTCCATCTTCCCAGGGACTTCACACTGGAGGCTAAGAGCCCCACTTTGCACACCACATTCAGGGGTAGATTCTGTGTGTGACTAACAAGTTCTCTTAGGGTTCCGAGGTAACAGGACAGCAAATGGATGAGTGAGAGTTTCCCTCACCCCACTGAAGTAGGACCATTCTCTGTGGAGGGTTGGTCCCCTGACTTCCTCTACTCTGTCATCTCCCTAGTGACTGATAGGGGTCCTGGGGTCTCTTCCCTGGAATCCCATGAGGGACAATTCCTTTCCTGAAGGGAAGGTATAGAGAGGACTAGCAGGTGCCTGGTGATGGAAAGTCCCCATAATCAAGAGACATTGCCTCCCCCCCCCGGCATGATAAATATCTGGGTTTCCAAATGGGAAATCTGTCTGTGATGAGAGCTCAGGAGGGGCTTCTGGAAGATGGAAAAGGGCTAGAGGCTGAGGCCACTGCTTATCTCCCCACACTGTATCTGGCTTCACCTCCTGTGTTTGTCCTGACCTCTTCCTTCACTCACCTGGATAAGTAGGACCCCAAAGTGGGCCTCCAGACAGGAAGCAGTGGAGAGTGTGGAGCTGCCCTGTCTACCACCCTACACCCTGACACCACTGTCATACTCAACCTCTCTTTTCCTCTTTGTGTTTCTCATTGCTTCATTTTGTCTGGAATCCCTAAGATTCCCATGTCTCCAGCAGGCTGTCCCTCAGACGTGGCTATATGATTTAGTGTTTCACAGGGCATGCAGCAGGCATGGGCTACCCCCAGTAACAGTGGTCATCTAGGGCTGATCACTCACAGGCAGAGCCATCGACAGAGAGCTGCAGCATCTAGAGGTCCCATCACCAGCCCCAAGACCCAGAGAGAAGTTGGCCTGAATGCCCCACTCTGTCTCTGCACCCCAGTGAGCCAGTGTCCAGGGGCCTTACCTTCCTCGTTAGAAGGCACAGGTCAAATGAGCTTCCAGAGCTGCAGAGCAAAGTCACATTCTCTCCATCATTACTTACTGCAGGGCACAGTTGAGCTGAGAAGGAAGGTCTCTTGTAGACGCCTGGGGAAAAAAATAGTCCTTGACTGTCGAGCACAAGCCTTACCCAGCCTATCCTCAGGGCATGAAAAAGGCATTCTCTCCACCTGTTCTGGGGAGCACACTCTGTTACCCACTCGTGCCTCTCTCCATCTCAGTTCTAGCTCTACAAGCTGGCTCATCATGTGTGTGTTTTCCTGTCTGTCTTTGCTCAGCTTTTCCTTGAATCTCTTGCTTTTTGCCGGTGCGTGTGTGGCTTTCTGCCCTTAGAACCATATGAGATTTAGGGTTCTCCTGGCACATAGAACTGTTTACTTTGAGGACCCTCAGAAAACATAGCCCTGGGCTAAGGCTCCCTGTCCTGGAACTAGAAGGTTATGGGTGTCACCATTTCCCAACAGCATGTCTGAAAGTGCCAGAATCTTCAAAGAGTCTGCAACATGTTTGTAGGATCTTTATAGGGTCTGATATTGCAGGGACCAACCAAAGTGCCCTCACACCCCAAGACGCTGGAAGTGACCCCTTGCTGAAAGTGGTTGGAAGTTTCACATAGAAGTTTGAGTTAAGCCACATTGCTGAGCAATGCCTCAGCATCCCAGTCTTCATCCAGACCTTCCAGGAGCCTGGCTGGAGGGGGTGTCTCTGGTGTGTCACTGAGCCTTATAGCAGAGGAAGGGGGCTATGGTGGAAACTACCTCCAAGATACCACTCAGTCCTAAGCTGGGGAACAAGCTGAGCTTGGATTCTGGTAGTGAATGAACCGGGAAACATTTATTTGAAGGGTTCTAAGAGTAGCATCGTGTGGGTGCGTTAATTGTATGTGAAGGGGAAGATCCTGAGAAAACAAGAGCTGCTCCACTCTGTGCCTGGGTTTACCAGAGGGACCGATGAGGTCCTCACAAGACCCAGGAATCCCACCGGGGGAAGGAGGCTTAGGGAGATGTGTTTAAGACTGTTAAGTGAGTCACAGACAGAAGCAGATCAAGCCATCCCACCACCTAGGTTTGTGGTTTTGTTTCTCCTAAACTTCCTTTCTGTAAGTAGCAGAACCTTCTCATCACCATCCTTCAAAACCTCTGCATTGTTTGAGCTCCTTGTATTTTCTGGAGATTAATCTCTTGCTTGCAAATATTCTTTCCCATTCTGTAGGTGGTCTCTTCACTCTGCTGTTTGTTTCCTTGATTGTGCAGAAGGTTTGCAGTTTGCTATGATCTCATTTGCCTATTTTTGCTTTTGCTGCCTGAGCTTTTGAGGGTTTTTTTTTTTTGTTTTTTTTTTTGAGACGGAGTCTCGCTCTGTCACCCAGGCTGGAGTTCAGTGGCATGATCTCAGCTCATTGCAACCTCCGCCTCCCGGGTTCAAGTGATTCTCCTGCCTCAGCCTCCCTAGTAGCTAGGACTACAGGCGAGTGCCACCACACCCGGCTAATTTTTGTATTTTTAGTAGAGGCAGGGTTTCACCACGTTTGGCCAGGCTGGTCTCAAACTCCTGACTTCAAGTGATCCACCCACCTTGGCCTCCCAAAGTGCTGGGATTACAGGCGTGAGCCACTGCGCCCGGCGTTGTATTGGATTTTTAATTCAGCCCTATTTTCTCCGACATTTGATATTGGCATTTTTGTCTTTTTTGGATATGCTAGGATCATGGTGTCATAATTTAATTTTAATTTTTATTTTTATTTTAAGTTCCGGGGTACATGTGCAGAATGTGTGGGCTTATTGCATAGGTCAATGTGCGCCATGGTGGTTTCCTGCACCTGTCAACCCATCACCTAGGTATTAAGCCCAGCATACATTAGCTATTTTTCCTAATGCTCTCCCTACCCCTACCCCACCCCCCCCCCGACAGGCCCCAGTGTGTGTTGTTCCCCTCCCTGTGTTCACGCATTCTCATTGTTCAGCACCCACTTGTAAGTGAGAACATGCAGCGTTTGATTTCCTGTTCCTGTGTTAGTTTCCTGAGGATAATGGTTTCCAGCTCCATCCATGTCCCTGCAAAGGACATGATCTTGTTTCTTTTTATGGCTTCATAGTATTCCGTGGTGTATATGTCTCACATTTTCTTTATCCAGTCTATCATTGATGGGCATTTGGGTTGATTCTATGTCTTTGCTATTGTGAATAGTGCTGCGATGAACACATGTGTGCATGTATCTTTGCAATAGAATGATTTATATTCCTTTGGGTATACGCGCAGTAATGGGACTGCTTTTACCTGTGCCAAAATACTGAAGTAGAAATGATTATTCACTCTAAAATGGAAGGTAATAAGATGTATACGTGAGCTATCAGATGCCTGGTGCTTATGAGTGAAGACAAGTCTGTCCAACGCTTCCCAACCCTGCATTCAGGGATGTCTCGTTGGCATCTTGATTATGGCCATGAAAAAAGAATTTACGTCAAGGAAATTGGTAAATGCCACTAATCATAGCATTTCAAAAAATGTCTTTTTCAGAATTAGCATACCATTGGGTCGTGACTTCAAATGCCAGTGTGTTGATTCCAGGTGGTGATATTTCAGGAGAAACTACACAGATAGCATCTGATAAGGAGGGAAGAGCTCATAGGGTCCACACAGGAGGTGAGGGCATCACGGTGCATTTATCTTTTCCTGGTCGGACTCTGATCTTCTCCCGTTGAATTAGTTCCTAAACCAGGTGCGGAACTCTGAACTGAAGACATGAAGACCCAGTAAAGTACACCAGGAAGTGTGGCAATGAGAAATGAAGAGGACTGTGTGACACGCCATGGACCAGAGCATGCAGGTGTGCAGAGGTGTGGACCCAACGCTGCCATGTGGGATGGAGCCTCATGTCTAAGTGTGGGAAAAGAGGCAGATCCAACCAAGGAAAGTCAACATTAATGGAGAGGAAAGGTATCACATTTTAATGGTTCTCCATGGATCACCCCAGAAAATGTCCCTGCACTCGGACATTGATTCCTTCCTCTGGAAATGACCAGCAGACAGTCCAGATAGCATCGGCCCTAGATTTTCTTCCAGAACCTCCTGGGATCATCAGATCTGTTCCTGAGGCTTCACGACTCTATAAAGTACATTATCCTCTCTGCTGTTCACCTCCCGGCTGCATCTTGGGAAGCTTCTCTGGCTGTGCCAAGCCTCAAATGACAGAATCCCGAGGACCACCAGGATCAAGCCAGCCACGCCCATGTGGATGAGATTCTCCACTGCGTAATCCTGAAGGTGTGAGGCTGGGGATGGTGGACAAAGAGGTCACAGAGGTCAGGGTGGATCAGATTGTCCACCCAGGGCACCCACCTCCCCTTCACAGGACCCAACCCTCAGTGCCAGCCCCATCACTGAGAGTATCTCCTCACATACCAGTCTCAGAGTCAGACTTGTTTTGTGATGGGCTGAGGGTATCAGCTGCTCCAGAGAATCAAAACAGAGAAAAAGAGACCTGAGCCCAGCCTCTCACCTGGGCTCTGCAATTTTTTTTTTATTACTTAATGTCTCATGATGTGACTTTTACAGAATTTCTAAAAAAAAAAAAAAAAAACCTCTTCCTCCGCTAGCAGGATTCCCTCTAGTCTCCTCATTGAACGATTTCAGTTTTCCTGTGTTCTATGGATTTAAACATTGCTCCTGAGTCATCTGGGAGAGAGTTTTCCTGCATCCTGAGAGCTCAGGATCTGCAAGGAAAGTGGTCCCCAGTACAGAGGTCACTAAGGCCTGTGTGCTCTCTGTGCAGCCTGGGACACAGGAGAACATGAGCCAACTCCCCCGGAGATGAGAGTTTCACGGATCCACCAGCTGAGGACCCAGGCTCCGTGGATGAGGGTTAGTCATCAGGGGAGCCTCAATGTCAGAAGCACAAAGGGGTGAAATTCTGGGGCTGCCTCCCCTTCATGCCCTCAGCCACTTCACCTGGAGTTTCATTGTCCATTTAATCTCTAGGTAGCTAATTATTCGTATAGGCAGCAACAGGTAGAATGTGATACACACACAGAAAAACACAAACACAAATATATATCTGTTTTATATATATAGTGGGCCTTAAAAACTATCTCTGCCTTCTTGAAGTGTGGGTTCACCTGGAGACAAACAGCAAACATATAGAAACACAGCAGTGGAAATTTACTAGTCGTAGCAATGGTTTTAGATATATTGGTAGAGACCTATATTTATGTGTGAATATATATTATTTGTATAGATATACGGATAACTAGGTTTCAATGTCACGTAAGATGTTGGTGTGACCACACACGCGCACACACACACACACACGTATATGCAGAGAGTGGAAGAGAGAGAGAAGGAATTCAGCCGCATGGTGTAGGTTGGTTAATTACTTGACATAAATGAGAAGCAGGCAGGACTGGGCTGAGCTGTGTCGTCAGTGAAGGTCACACTTGGAGGTGACATTGAAGCTGATTCCTCAATAGGAAAAAGGGCCAGGAAGGAGGCGTGTGGAGACCCAGACAGGGAGCAACAGAGGCTCCAGAAAGAGCAGGTCCCAGAAAGGTCTCAGCCTGTTCTTCAGAAAGGAATGGCCGCTTGTCTACAGGGTGGAGGAGGAGGCAGAGGAGGAGGGGAGATGAGCTTCGGGGCCTTGGTGGATTGAGAATAGGCCAGGATGAACCGGCCAGGAAAGAGCGGCCCCAATATCTCTCTCTCTGTCTCTCTGTCTCTGTCTCTGCCTCTCTCTCCCTCCCTCTGAGGTCTGGAAAGTGCTGTAGGGTTTCAAGGAGTGGTACCAGTCATTTGACTTTTTCTGAAAAGATAAGCCCTACCCCCTCCATAGCAAATGTCCAGAACGAAGGAAGTCCACATTTCTACCTGAAGTTTACAAAACCTCAGGGAGCACGTGAGATCAGGGCTATTACGAAACCGGGTGAGAATAAAAATAGGTGATGCTGCAAATCTACTTTCACCAGCTTGGACAAAAAGGCCAATATGAGATTTTAAAAACCCAAATAAAAAATGTCAACGGCGCAGAAGAGGAGCGGTGCACATTCCCTGAGCTGCTGCGGGAGCACGTGCAAGTCCCTGTGAGGCTCAGGTGTGCGCTGAGTGCTGGGGAGGCTGCAGGGGAAAGCAGGAAGTGGGGCGGGGTGGGGGGGGGTCGGGGGTGGATGCAGGTGGCACCGGCAGCCTGGATGCTTCTCTCTCCAGGAGGGCGTCTGTTGGGGACTGGGACACAGAGGCTCTGATTCTGAGGTGGAGACACCAGGATGGGAGCAGGTGGGGCCTCCGTCTTCCACCCTCAGTCTAATCTCAACTCCTTTGAGGTTCACCCCCCGTCTCCTCCCAGCCCTCCCTGCACTTTACTCTACTGAGACTTCAGGGGTGGGAGCCAGGGGTGGGAGGTCCCTGTCTATTTCCATCTTCCCATGGGCTGGACCCTCCCCTGCGGACCCTCTCCCTTCACTCCCCTCTTTCCTTAGTGTCCAGAGCTCTGCTGGGGGCAGGGCCTGAGCTGAGCCTTTGAGCTCAGAGAGGACAGGGTCAGCGCCCTCACCTGAGACCACGAGCTCCACGGGGCCACTGGGGTGAGACAGCAGGTAGGGGTCGGAGCTGAGTGAGCCGTAGCACCTGTAGGTCCCCGTGTGGGCTGAGGTCACAGGACTCATGGGGAATTC